>NC_000011.10:100202727-100505757 GCF_000001405.40 Homo sapiens
TTGGATTCCTGTAACTACACTGTTAGTCAGCCAAGTTATATATAAATGAGAACACTGAGCCCCAGGAAGGAAGACAAGTAAAGGTCCTCCCTAATGAAGACCTGAGCAACACAGGCCCATTTACGCAACAGCCCCCATCATCACTTGGGCTTCCTTGAACTTAAAACTTCATTGCCATGAACGATGTTCCAAATCTGATTTGCTGTTGTAAAGCACAGAGAGAACTAAAACTAGCTGTAACTCTTCATTGTGTCTTTTAACACTGAGATGATAAAAAAGATGGTGTTATTCTCTGAAGTCTTACCTCTTTAGCTGGGTAACTACATCTGTTACTACTATACTTACTTGATCACTATTAAAACATTAAAATTAAAATTATGTTCAGTAAGATAAAATCATCAAATTGTTTAAAATTCTCCCATAAAAGTTACTGAGAATTATTTGAAAAACATCTTAAAATATCCTACTACACTTGCCTCTTCAGATGTTCTGTGGGTGTGTTTTCCCATTAATTAAAGCTCATTCTTCTGGCTGCTGCAATTGTTTCATTTTATGGTATGTGAACCCATTTTTATCAACATCCCTTTTTAGGCTTTGAAGCTTCTCTCAAAATGGATATGAGATGCAGTATGTTACATTGCTTTAACAACTGAAGTGGATGCAAAGAATGTAGAGTACAAAGGTCTCAATCATTCTTCTGAAGAAAATAATTGGTATCCACATTTTGGACATTAAAATCATACCTGTTCTTAATAAGTATGCATTTACAGCATTGTTTTATGCAGTTTTGGCCACCAAAATCCAGTTTTCAAGTCAGGTATCTGGCAGTGTCTCAGATTCTTTTCTTTACTCCCATATATCCATCAAATTTTCAAATATTACTAATTCCATTTTGAATCTGTTGATTCCTTTTCTCCATTCCTGGAGTCAAAGTCCTATTCCCAGCACTTATTTCTAGTGCTGTCATCTCACCACCTTTTACACTATAATGACTATCATTACCATGTTTCTAACAAGCCGATTTTATCATACTGCCCCTCCCCATCCCATCCAATTACATAAATGTGCACGTACACACACACACACACACACACACACACACACTGCCCCTATCTTGGATCTAACTCCAGCCTACATATCAAACTTCATCTTCCAACATTTTTCTCTTATTATTTTACAGCAAAGCATAATAATTCTCTGAAAATATCATGTTCTCACATGCTGACCCACTGCCAAGAATACTCTTCCCTGACTTGTAAGCTTTGCAAACTGCAGCATTTGCCTCCAGGCAACTTGAAGTCCTTTCCCAGTGCTTCCATTATACCTTACAGATCCCGCCACCAGGATCTATGCTGCTTTAAACATTTGCTCAGTTTTTTTTCCTCTTCTAGTCTTTATGTTTCTGAAAGTTAGTTAGGAACATACTTATTTGCTGGGCTTAACACAGTACCTGGTGCACAGTAAAGACCAAATAAATATTTGTAGTCATTAAAGGAATCAGTAGACATAGGAGTATATGAACTAAAAACTAGCCATTTAGAGTAGCTCACCAAGAAACAAACATTGACTAATATATATATATATATATATATATATATATATATATATATATATATAATTATAGGCAGACAGATAGATATATCGCTCTCTATATAGATATCTATATATCTCTCATTGATCTATATGGAGAGATGATATATAGATATCTATAGATCTATAGATATAGATCTGTAAATATAGATACACATGAAAAGAAAGAGAGAAGAGAGACAGGCTCTCACTCTGTCGCCTAGGCTAAAGTACAGTAGTACAATCTCAGCTCACTATAGCCCCCACCTCCCAGACTCAAGCCATCCTCCCACCTCAGCCTCCAGTTAAAGAGTTTTAGTTAACAGAGGAAGTTTCTAACTTCTGTTGTAATTATAGAATATTATCAGTGATAAACATGTTTATTCATTTTACTTCACATAAAAATTTAAGTATTTTTAATGTTGTCCTAAAAGTAATTATTTTCTCTGGAGATAATAATCACAGGAGTTGCTCATAAAAGAGAAAAATACAATGGATTCTAGTTTTCATGTTGAAGAAATACTGATATGTTTTATAAGCATTGCATTATTTTAAGGAGAATGCCCTACATATATGTATGTATCTAGGAGATATAATTTAACCTGGAGAATGATGAAATGCGTAATATAATAAGGCCCTGAATACTGGAATTTTTACCTTGTAGGAATAATATATGAAAAAGATTTTTCTTTTTAGTTTTTTGAAAGCCTTCTTAGATAAAAGATTGTTCCTATTATTTAATACCACATAAGGTTTAGGATTTATATAAGCAAACAGTTCAGTTTTACATTTTGAAATACTATTGATATGTAAGTATTGTGTTTTTAGATTGACTCCTATGTTATTTCTCAAAGTGATTTTCAAAGAGTTGGGTTTTTGAGAGGCCATTATTTCTAAGACATCTTTAAAATTCTACCTTCATTTTGCAATTTCTCTTTCGGCATCTGTTTTGTATTAAATTCTAAAGGGTGACTAAGTGTTATGATATATTTAGTTTTCAGCTTTTCAGAATCCTCTAGTTTCTTTCATGGACTATTTTTATCATATTACAGCACAAAAATCAGCTTTAGGAGTCTAGAATTAATAATAGGTAGCATCTCAAATATGTTTTCTCTCTCAGAAAAGGAGGAAGAGGAAATTTTAGAAAAGACTATTGGACTATTATTCACTTCCTTTTTCCATCTGGTATCCATTATATAAGAGACCTGGAAAAGGTCACTTTAAAGAATTTGAGAAGCATGACACCATTTTATTTAATGAATAATTGAAGCCTCTATTGAGCATTTATCAGTGTACAATACAATCAGCCTTCTGTCTCACGGGTTCTGTATCCATGGATTCAACCAATGTGGATAGAAAACACTTTAAAATCAATAAGAGCATACAACAAAAAATACAGTACAGTATAACAACTATTTACCTAGCATTTATATTATATTAGATATTATAACTAATCTAGAGATAATTTAAAGTATACTGTAGAGTATGCATTAGGTTATATGCAAATACTACACTATTTCATATAAGGGACTTGAGCAAGCATGCATTGTGCTATGCTGTCCTGAAACCAGTCTTCCATGGATACAGAAGGCAACTATACATAAGTTCTTATTTTATCTCAGTTCCATGGAAATAAGTGGAGCATTCACACACTAGGCACTATTCAGGAGCTGAGGATTCTGTATTAATCAATAACAAACATTATATGGGAGGTATACGAATACAACTGAAGTAAAGCACTGTCTTTGAGGGTCAGTCTTACAGAGGAACATACATATAGAGATATGGCAATTGTAATGAAGGAAGTATGTTCAGGAAGCTGAGTCAAAGGTACACATCATCCAACCCGTGGAAGCAGGGCAGACTTCCTAAACCAAATGTTACCTGTGCCTACTCTTAAAACAGAGTAAGTTTTGCAGACAAAGCAGAGAGAGGAAGTACAAAAGAAAAAGACTTTACAGGTAGAGGGTGAGCATGATGAAATATGGGAGATACTGAAGTTTTGTCTACTAAATCCCAATAATAAATAATGATCTTATAGTTAAACTTCATTTAATATATTACTATAGTAATTCTGTATTAAAGAGGGCTTCTCAAATTCCCTATGAGAGTTAAGTAAATGACCATGATTATTCTTGGTTTCAATTATAGCAAGGTACATATACATAGCAAAAGTAAAGTTGCCAGATTTTTCCAAATTAAATCCAGGGATAAACTATATCTTGCTTAACATAAGTATACGTGTTTTACATAAATTTAGATGTTGCTTGAAGCTTTCTGTGGTATAGATAAAATAGAAATTATTACAACTGTAACACTCAATTTTTAGGGTCATTGAGATAATTCCCTGAGGACTGTATGATTTTTTTTCGTGAGGCTGCTTGTTATTCTAAAGGCAGTTCTAAGAATAAATGTACTTCGGGAAAACAGGGACTAATATCAGAACTTCTGCTTCCTTTCACATTTATTCTCATACTAAACAATAAATTTTTTTAGGACAGGGATTATATCTATTTTGCCAACCACTGCCAGCACCTGGCATCATGCCTGGCAGATATATTTGCTAAACAAAATATATATTAAATAAAATGTTTAATTATTATATAAACAAATAGAATTGTATATCCTTATATATCAGCACTTTTTTATATCCTTATTATCTGCTGAACTACCCAACCAAAAAATAAAAATATATCAATGTCAGGAAAAATGTGATAACTTTGTTCACTTTGCAAACACTTAATGGTTACCTGTAATGTGTACAGCATTAACCAGAGTATGGTTGAATAAGACCAGGCCAGTGTCACCCTTTTACATAGAGCTGTTTGTCTATTAACAGATAGATGGACCTTTAAACAACTATTTAACATGATAAGCTTTATAGTATTCAGATATTATACTGATGAGAGAAATAAACTCGAGGAGAAATTTGACTTAATAAATAGGTATGTCATTAGCAGAAAAGCTTGTTCTTACAATTAATGTTTAATTGAATTCAACTAAGCTCATTACTAAAGGTTGTTCAACCAACTAGCATAAGCTAAGGTAATAATCTGACTGATAATTTTTGAATTACCTTAAAATCAACTCTTTTTCTTTATATACCTTACACATTCTATAAAACCAAAGAATTTACTATTTTCAGGCAAAATTAGATAAAATAATTTAGATTGCTTTACCAGTGAAGATATAACATTACTAACTTGTTCAAAGACATCTTAAGAAGCCTCACTAAAACTAAAAAATACTGCATTTTATCCTTTCTAACTACTGATAGCCCCATAAATAAATATATTATATTTACAAAATTTGTTTTAAAGTACCTATTAAATATAGTGATAGTATTTCCTAAAAGCATTTTTGAAACCTGTACTTCAATTGCCATTATTTATCATTTGCAAGAAAAGTTAAATACTTATGGCTTTCCCCAAAATAAGGGACCCTGTGACATGCTTTGCTCACTGAGCTCGTCACATCACTAATCATTCCAACAGTCTGCTATGGTGTCTCTGGTGTTTAAAATTACTGTAGCTCTACCATGTTAAACTGCAAACATTTCAATATCATATGACAATATCAAATGCTTCCATTTGCTTTGTAAAATAATCAGGCAGGAGAATTTAAAGTTCATTTTTGTTGCTAACTTTTTTTGGGTTTTGCCCACATTGCTGTTTCCAACCACATTTAGTCTCATACCAAAATTCTGACTGGAATAACTCATTAGTCTGTCTCATTTTTATATTTTAGGCATTGAGATTTAAATATTTTTAGAGGAAAAAACTACATTTAAGTATCAATGAATACCTTTTGCTCATCTGCTGTAACTATAGGAAAGGAAATAAGAAGTTGTTATCCTAAATATATAGAGGTAAGAATTAAATATGGTCTCTATCAATTTTCACTACAAAATAAACCTTGCAAAAACCTAGTGGCTTCAAATAACCATTTATTTAGTTCATGATTCTGTGGGTTGGCAATGTGGGTTGGGCTCAGCCAGAGTACATCTATGGGTCTCACCAAGACTCACGCATCTGCAATCAGCTGCCTATCAACTTCAAGGCATTCATTTCGGGCATCATCTGGCCATTGGCTGGGGCTGCTGGAGGAAGTGAGCCACATGTTTCTCATCATCCACCAGGCTAGCCCAGGCTTGTTCACATTAAAGATCTCAGGGTTCTAAGACCAAGAGCAGTAGTGCTAAGACTCCTTAGGCCTAGACTCAGAACTTGCTCAAAGAAACTTACATCACATTTTACTGGTTAAAACAAGCCATAAGGCCATACCAGATTTAAAGGGTAAGGAAATAGGCTCCACCTCTGGTTGGGAAGAACTGCAAAATTTTGTGGCCATTTTTGCAACCTACCACCATCTGCCCACAATTTTTACATTTCTCCAACTTGCAACTTTCATACCAGAATCCACAGAAGTCTCATTCAATCATGGCTCCAAATTTACTTTCCAGTTAGCTTTTGCTGCAAAACAAACTGCCCAAAATGTATGACTCAAATCTAATGGTCAGTGGCTTGATCTGGACTCAGTTGAGTGACTGCTGGTGGTCTCAGTTGGGGTCATAAATGCATCTACTGTCAGCGATCAGGTCAACTGGGAGCTGTTTGGTGAAGGGGGCAGCTAGGATGGCTTGTCTCTACTCTAAGTGGTCTTCTATTCTGCAGCAGGCTAGTCCAAGCTATGTCGCGTGGTTATCACAGAATTTCAAGACAGGAATCTCCAGTGCACGCACGCAATGCAATTGTCTGTTTGCTCCATGGTCACACATGTCTCACTGACCTATCCAAGTCACTTACAGAAGCACAGAGTGAGTGTGAGAGGAGATTATATAAGGATGTGGATCCAGGACCATTACTGTAGCAATCTACCACACAACCTCTAAATGATACTTTAGCTGTGATATCATTTTGATACTAAACTAAAATTTAGATTTTATGTGTGGTGTGATGTGGAGGAGAGAGGTGTAGGAGATAGCCTTTCAAAAAATAATCATTTGTACAACCCTAAAAGTCAACATATATTGTCACTATCAACATGAACTAGGTAAACTGCTCTTACCAAATTAACCAGCCACTATTTGAATGGATCCTTTTTTACTGAATTAAGTTCAGCCAGACAAAGCACTTAATCTGGTTAAAGAGAGTCATTTTTCCATTTTACATGGTTAACATTCTTTTTAACATGTTAGAAAATTCTAATCACTTTACTTGTTAATAGAAAATCAGCAACAGTTAGAAATTAACAGGGAAACATTAATTTCTAATGAAAACATAAATGGGTTAATTGGTTTTTCACAAAAATAGCATGTCTAGAAGACAGTCATAATATTTGCTACCTCATCTGTCCTAAAATAATCCTTGTTAAATGTTTCTACCACATGTTAGTTCTAGTGATCTCAGTGCCTCAGCCACATTTTGATAAAAACAAAAGCAGGTATATTTATTAATAAACTACTATAAAGAGACTATGGGCATATCTGAAGCAAAAATAAAGTATACTGCATGTTACATACACAAAATGAATTCATAGGCTCTTTTAAACCAGCATGTTCCAGTTGTTTCCTCACTAATGAATAAGGGTATTGTTATTTGTGTTATCACTGACTTTGCTGCAGAGCTTAACTAGTGGAGAGAATGAAAATATTTATGAACCTGTAGCTAATCTAGAATTACATTAAGCATTTATTATATAAAGCTGTGATAACAGTAGGTTAATCTAAGAAAATAGTAGAGGTTAAAAAAATAGTCCAGCCTGCACACATGGTTCAAGCCTGAAATCCCAGCATTTTCAGAGGCCGGGGCCAGTGGATCACCTGAGCCCAAGAGTTCGAGATCAGCCTGGGCAACACAGTGAAAACCTGCCTCTATACAAAAAAAAAAAAAAAAAAATACAAAAAATTATCCAGGCTTGATGGCATGTATCTGTAGTCCCAGCTACAAGGGAGACAGGTGGGAGGATCGCTTGAGCCCAGGAGGCAGAGGTTGCCGTGAGCCAAGAACCTGCCACTGCACTCCAACCTGGGTGACAGGGCGAGACTATCTCAAAAAAAAAAAAAAAAAAAAGTCCAGATTTATATTGTTTTCAACTTCTCCAATAATTCTGTTTCCTATGAAACTTATTTATATAGATTATATGGGTGGCTTTGAGGTACAAAATAGGTATACACATTTTAGGATGTGAATGTGTAACTCAAGTATTAGACTTGATAATTCAAAGATTTAGGAGCTTTCAAAAGATATTTGAAGATAAAAACAAAGATGACTAATGTATATTGATTAATGCATTTGAGACTTGACAAAGTTTATAATGATGATAGATTACATTAGGCAGTTTTGCTGAATTTCTTGTATTCAACAGTAATGTTTCCATCTGTGAACACAATGCTAGAAAATTTGTTTCCCATGAGGTAGGTTTTTAGCTAGTAATACCAAAAAATAATGTGAACCCCATCAACGTCCTTCAAGAAACCTTTCAAGAATGTGTATGCAGTCATGATGATAATCTCAATACATAAAATCAAAAAGACTTTGGAAATCAACTTAACTATATGGCTCGATATGCCAAAAGATAATTCAAATATAGATTGTGTATTCGTCTTCACAGAAACCCAATGTGCTGCCAAGATAAGTTTGAAGTAATATAACTATTTCTAGGTAGTTGACACATTGTACAATGTGCTAGATTAAGCCAAAAATAAAAACTGTCTGTAGTTAGCTTGAGCCATCCTAGTTGCATAAAGCTCGAATCAAACCTTTAAGATCCAGAGACCAGTTGTAAAATGTCATCCTCCATGTGTCTAGAAGTCCTTGATCAGCCACTGAGGTTTCATCTATCATTATAAGCATTACATTTACTATGCTATTACAATTACTTTTAACATTAAGAACTTCTGGTGGGTGATGCCCACCAGTAGTAAAGGTAACATGCTTTTGAGGTTTTGGAACTCAGTTGCCAGCATTTACGTATTTCTGCTAGCTTGAAAAGGTATGATGAATAGTTAATAGCAGGACAACATCGTAGCAGCTTCCCCAAGATTAACAACTAAAATAAGACTTTTGCTAAGCAACTTTAAAATAATGTATGAAGAACGATGTCAAATGAAGACCAACGGAATTGAGCTATAGATTGTAGCAGACAACCACAGTGCTAGATCAGTCTGATATTGGGAAAAAAAAAAAGTGGGGATTTTTTTTTACCAATGTCTTGGGAAAGACCATAAATCATAGAGGCAGAATCTTAAACAGACTAAGTTCTAAATAGCCATCTGTAGTTATAAATAGAAGGCAATCTTCACTTGGACACAACTTAAGAAGAGCTGCTTATCAGGTATGGATCATGTTAGCCATACAAGTTGATTAGTTTATAATCTTTAGTTGATGGTAAACACTTAGCTTTGTACTTCTCCATCATAACCCTAGCTTTCAGCTCTAAGTCAGTTTGTTTGTTTTTTTAACCACAATGAAGGTACATTTAATTTTTCTAACATAAATTTTTAAAAGTTTATTGTAGATCATTTGAACATATTAAAACTTGAAAGAAGAAAATAAAAACTACCTGGAAAATTATGTGGATATATTCACCAGTAATGTTTGTAACCATGTTTTCATATGTCCCTTCAAGCACATATAGACACACACTTTACACAGGTGAGATCATATCATGGATGTTTAAAATGCTTTAAAAGGATGACTTTCCCCCTACTTTTATCTCCCCATAATGGCATCTATCACACCCAGTTTAGTTTGCTAATATCCTCATGTATGTCCTTCTGTATTTTACTCTGTCCTACTGTAGTCCTGGGCAGATTTACATATGAATGGGAATATTTTTATAATTGTTTTATAAAAATTAAATCATATTTTACATTCTTTTTCTGAATCTCATAATTATCACTCAATAATAATCTTGAAAATTGTTCTATGTCACCTTGTATAGCTCTAATGCATTCTTTTCAATAGATCCATAATAATCCATAATGTGACTATACTTCAATGTATTTAGCCATTTCCCTATTAAATACCAACTTTGTTTCCTTTGTTGAGAGATTTCTGAACAATGCTACAGAAAACATCTTTAAACATCTGTATCTTTGTATATCAACAATTTCCTTTCTGTGGGACAGATTACCAGGAATAGACGACAGGGTCAAAGAACAAAACTATTTTTAATTTAAATGGGTGCTGCCAAATTTTTGTTATTGCATAAAAATATGCAGCATCTAATTACATTACTGCATTACAGCATTATGTGGTAAAAGTTACTAGACAGGGGGCAAGAGTTCTTTGTGTAGGCCCAACTTTGTTTCTAGTTAGCTGTACGACCTTGGGGAAGTCATGTCCCTTGTCTAGGTCTCCATCTTCAAAGTTAAAAGGCTAGAGTAGATGATTCCTAATGACTTTATCTAGTTCTAAAGTTTGGTGATTTTTTTCATTTATATTCAAAAAGTAAAATCTCAGCAACTCTCCAGATATAATGTCCAATAACTTGAAATCATGAAATGATCTAAAAAAATTTTAGTGGACACCAACCATGTTTTAGGAGGGATTACTGCTAGCTCTAAAATCATATTTTTCTCTCATAAATATTGCAAACTTTCTTAATCTTGGAAGATGTTTCAGTCTCATGGCACCCTTAGTACTGGGAATTTCTCAATGCAGGAGGAACTTCAAACTGGAAAAAAATTCAAGTCAGAATTATTCCCCATGGCAGAAACAACATTTGTATCTGTAATATCTTACTAAATAATAAAAGATTCCTGTAAAGTTAAAGATTTTCTCTAAAAGCAACGATAAGCTTATAGAATGAAAAAATGCCATTCTCTCTGTATAATAGATCAGCATCCTTTATTTTGTATAACTAGTTCCCTCCAAATTTCACATACAATGAAACAATCAAGCCCTATCAATATGAAATCTTGGATCAAATATATAAGCATATATGATAATTGGTGTTGCAATAAATTCAAATGTGTACAACTTTGAAAGTCTTTTAAATATAATTCTAAATGCACCTGTCAATGACTTCAGTTCCAGCATTTACATATTTCTGCTAGCTTGAAGACAATAATCTACAGGGTCTCTTGTAATACTGGAAGCTGTATTATACAGTTAGAGAACAATGAGCAGTAGTAGAATATGGTCTCGATGATTTTTCAGTATCAATCTGACTTGACTTTGATTTTTGAACATTCAATAAATGGTGAATCCTCTTTCATAAAATTCAATGCCTAGCTAAGACTTGTTATTTAAAATGAGTTTTCTGTGGCTGTGTCTTGACTCACTTTCAAAATGTCAGTTAAATTTGACTGAGTGTCCTTGACCTTGAACTTTTCATAGTTGGTTTTGATTGACACATCTATTCAAATTGACCTTTTTTTAAACTGAACTATTCTTCTATTTGAATGTTCATTGGAAGATTGTTGCTGTACTCTACAATGTAAGCATTGCTTTGAATAGTTAGCTTTTTCTGACATTGATGTGTTTTAATTGCCTCAATTCTAAGTATTTTTGAAGTTGATGAGAATCTTCCTGATTGTGAAAGATAGTGTTAAAATGGATGCTATCACCCATTTTCTTCTTTTGCAGTCAGGTATTTTTTCATTCAGAAACTTGTTTCTAAGCATCAGAAACTTTCAAAGCAAGCTTGGCAAAAGAATACTCAGTATTTGGTCTTAAAGCACATAGTTGAAATAATACAGCTACTTGTTGAAGACTATGCTTATTAAAATATTTACTAGTATTGCCAAAAAAGATGACAAATATGTATCTCATAAACTTGAATTGTGAAAAAGTTTGAAAGATCCAAATATTAATTTACTGGAAAATAGTCTTTAGAAATGCTGATATAAAATTAATTATTTCATTAGTAATATTAAGTTTTGTAAAAAAAAATGTATGAAAGTTCTTCTACCATTTTTGTTCATTTCTTTCTTTTAAAATGTCTGCCAATATGCGTATTCCATAGAAAACTGTGTATTTCCATAGCAAAAGCAGTTAGCCTAAAATATATCCCTGAAGGGTAGGGGCATTAGGAGCAAAATGGAGCTAGTCGTGCTAGGCCTTCTTTCCACTGCTACAATTGTGCTTGAAAAATGAGTAATTCTGTCTTTACAACTCATCTCCCTAAATACACAGTTAAACCAGTTGGCACCATCAGTCTTCTTCCTGAAAATCTCCTTACATAAACCCAAAGTTCATCCATGATGAATAATGTGTTGCCCACATGACCTCAGGTGACAATGTTGCCAAACTTTCCAACACTACGTGGAAGGTCACCTTTTCTTCAACCATGAATACCCATGTCCTCACTGTCCTTCAGTCCCTGTTCAACAGTCTCCTTGAGGCCCTTCCAGCTTTCACTAGTAGTGTCATCATGACCCTTCCAACCTTTGCACACCTAACCCCGAAGCCAACGTCAAGTGTTTTGGCTTTAGTTAACAGCAGTACCCCACTTGTAGGTACCACATTATTTTATGGTTATTCTCTGCTGTACAAGTACTCCAAAACCTAGCAGTATAAAACTACAAAGATTTTACTCTGCTTCCCATTTTGTGGGCAAGTAAATCAGGCAGATAACAGCAAGGATGGCTTGAATATGCTTCACAGTTGCTAAGCCTTCAGCTGGGGTAGCCAAATGGCTGGAGATGGCTGGGATGGCTCAGGGGGTGCTATATGCCAGAAGCCTCAGTTGTGGATATTGGATAGGTTCCCGAGATCTTCTCCATGTTGCTTCTGCCAAGTCTAGAATCCCCAGTGTGATTTTGTTATTCACAAGTATAGCTGGGCTAGAATGGTTAAAATAACTGGAAATGTCTGGCCTTCTCTCTTTATCTATGTAATCTCCCACCTCACTAGCTTAGCCTTTTTCACATGACAGTCTGAATGTAGTACAATTTTTCTTACATTCCCCAGAATAGATGTCCCAATGGGCTTAGAAAGAAGTTACAAGCCTTCTTATGATCCAGCCATAGGATTTTCAGTACCTCACTTTTTCCACATGATATTGGCATAAAAAGTTACCAAGGCCAGTCCAGATTCAAGGAGTAGGAAATTAGAGTATACCTCCCAGTAAGTCAAATGGCAAAACATATGTGGACATTCTTAATCTACCACAGTGAACAAGTAGTTATATCCTAGGCCGAACAGATTCTTTGTACAACACTGCATACAAGTAGTGTTACCATAAAGCACAGCAACTAATGCAGTGTAAAACAGATTGTGAATGATTCATTATGCAATAGTGTCATGTTCAGCCGTAATAAAATAGAGTATATCTCACCATTGGCTCTAGAGATAAATTTTAAATACCCCATAATGCAATGCTTAGTCACTATAATGGAAACAGGAAAGAATAAGTAATAGGAAAGAATAAGTATCAGCAAGCAGAAATGAAGAGAAGCTGGGGATATTAAATGTAATTCATATGGAGCATTGACATTCCATTCCAAGTATTGGCAGGTATTGTACTCTAGAGAGAGGTTGTGGATTACAGGGCAGGGGCAGAATCAATGCCCTGGAAGGAATAAAAGGCAAAATAATATGCAAATTGGTCATTAATCAATGAGAGGAGGAAAGAAATGGAAGTAGAATGAACAGGTGGAGCTCTTCTAGTTTTATGGGACTTAGCATCAGCCTCCCTCCTCTATGAGACCAGAGATCGAAGGTGAAAAAGAAATTGCTTTTATCTGTGAGACCAAACCACAAAGGAGGTACACAAACAAACTGGCCTCATTCCATGCTAATTCTTAGAGTTCCATACAAAAATCAATGAAGCACAGAGTGGTCTACTACAATCCCAAGATTTTGGATTTTTCACAATACCAGGTCAATACTCATTTTAACTGATGAGTGAGATGAAGCTACTCATACTCTCCGTGGCTGGGCTCTGCTTATTTCAAGGAGGAGTTAGAAAACCTACAGGCAGGTATCTGAGTATTCTTCCACACAGCCAGGAAGAGACCAGATTTGTGTTAAGACACTGACTATTCTGCAATGTAAAAATAGCAGCAGAATAAAATGTAATTTATCCTGGAAGCCAGTGTAACAAAATAATATTAATCTTAAAAGATAAATTGGAAATATGACAAAACAATCTCTAAATTAGAATAAAAAAGATATATCAGTAAAATATCAATTCATCTAAATTATGCACTTAGGTTAGGAAGTAAAATTTGGCCAATTCTTTTTCCACTAAAGCTGTGTTATTATAAATTACACATGACTAACTGAGGACACGTCAGTTGTGGGTCACATATTGAAAATTTTCTTGATACTAGATAAGTGTCACAATAAAAGTAAATGATGGCATGAGCAAATGAACTAAATGGGTCTTGGGTGTTATCGGAAAGGTGATACTGACATTTCATAGAGCTATGCAGCCTTTTATGCCTAGATGCGGTTGATGAAAACAGTCATAAAAGCATGAGCTTTTCAAATAAACCTATGGTTCATTGAAATAATTTCTAATAATAGTTTTATGGTCATTACTACTCAATGAAGCCATTTTATATTACTACACTTGCCAAATTTGAATTAACTAGTGCAAGTGAATGAAATTACCTATAGGTTCAAGCAAAACAAGGAGGGGTTTCCTAGATGGCACAGGAGAATAGAAGGAATACCTGATCAAAAATCAGATGCCCAAAGCTTTACTCCTGCCTCCACACTTAGCTTGCCCATGGACAAGTTACCTAAACTCTTCAGCCCCATTTTCTCAACTGCTATGGGAATTGGTTAGGCTACATAATTTATTTATCTTTCCACACTAAAATCATTTTTTTCTGCAATGACTTTTTGTACTATTACCTATTTCAACAAAACACATCACATTACAGCTGGTTGTTACCTCTAACATTGTGTTGTGAGTTTCTCAAAGCCATAATTTATCTTTTCTCTTTATCTTGTAGCATGTGTAGATCAAGTATGATAAAAAGATAGCATATTTTATGCCAGCTTCTTTTAACACAGTGACTTTTATGCTAGTCACTGTGTTAAGAAGAATCTATTGGTTGGGTCACAGTACAGCCATGCTTGCTATGATAAAGAAGAACATAGTTGCAAAAGTGTCACATATTTGTGATTTTCTGTCTAGACAAAATGACAGTCTACCAAGTTCTTGTTAAATAATTACATAATTGTGCATGTGCTATAAGCATCCATAAAATGTATAGCTACTGTAGAATGTTATAATTCTAGACCTTTCCTGGTGGTCATGTATTACTAGCTATTTACAAAGCACAAGCTAATGCATAAATGTACAATTTTTTTCTGACTAGTTCTATCGCCTTTGTGTAACTTCAATGAGAGGTATTTTATGGAGCATAGACTTAGTGAAAGATAGTAAGATTATTCTATTACTAGACAGTGGGATAATTCACTGCAAGCAAAAATGTGTATTGTCTGTCACAATTGCTAAAATCTTCTTACCTACCAGCGTTGCCTCATTGAGCCAACCTATGGACCAGCTGTTATTCAGCTTAGAAGATGTTATTACTGAGGAGATTTCAAGAGAAAGTTGATCCATCATACAAACACTAGAGAGGAATTTCTCATAACTTTAATGATGTGAGTTTAAATACTACTCCTGCCTAGAATTCTCTTAAACTGGTTTGCCATTGTACTTACAAAACTGCCAATTTAAAAGTGAGGTTGAGAGTCCCAACATGGTCCCTTCTACCTCTAGGACTGTAAAGTTTAGAGGAGTCCTCACCTCCATTCTTTCAACTGAGATACTGTCCTCTTTCCTTTGTCATTAACAAACCAGTATAAAGTGAACAGGTTGAATCTAATGATATGCGTCAATGAGCTTTGTATTTGCATTGGAGGTCCAAGAAAAAAGTAGAAAGAATATTTGGAGAAAATAACACATAAATATACCAACGCCTGGATAGCCTTACACCAAACATTCAGTATAAAATGTAACATATATCACTGTAGTTTCTAACACAAGCCTTAAGAAGATGTATTCTATTTCTGTATTTACATATCAGCATACGCTAAAAAAAGACTTCAAGTCAATAAAGCATAAAAGAGAAAGTATAAACATTAAAGCAGGAAAGGATAAGTGTTCTATAATTTACAAAGAGATGCATACCAGCTCCTCGATATTTATCTCAAAGACCAATGTTTCATAGAATGGGCTAATGTTTCAGAAGACCACAGGAAATATCAATGTGGATTGGAGTGGTGAGCAGGACCAACCTCATGGGCATGTAACCCACTGGGCACCATACTGAGAAGGGTCTCATACTTGATATAGTGCTTGACTGTTACCATTTTGAAGTCTTCATTTTAAAACAAAGAATCCTGCATTTTCTTATGCACAGGGGCCCACAAATTACGTAGCCAGTCCTGGTGGTCTGTGAAACCTTTCTGAAAGAGATAAGACTTGAACAAGGTCTTAACATATGAGATATAATTTGTAGATTTTGGTGGATCACTGGGGAACTGCTTGAAGGTTCAGAGACTGCATTTTCCACCATGGTGAGAGACAAGATAGGTTGAGTCTAGCCTCATATGCTAGATTAAGAACGTGGACCATCTTGTAGGCAAAAGGGAACCAGTGATGATTTTTGAGGTGGTAAATAAAATCAGTTTTAAAGGATTAACTTAGCATTGGCATAGCAGATGGATAAGCATGTGAGACAGAGAGTTGATCACAAAGAGGATATAAAGACCTCATTTCAAAGCTACTATTAAAAATATAAATTTAGGAATCAGTGCTCATACAATGATTGCTAAAACTATATAAGGCACACAAAAAGAGAAAATACTTTTCTCCGGACTAAGCCTGAGTATTGTGCTATCAAATAACAGATCCATCTCTCCCCATGTCTCTTCAAAGCTCAGATGTAGGTATGAGGAAAGCTGGTCCACACTCCCTGCCAATGTGTCTTCTGTCAAAGCTGAATTAGACAGGAAACTCCTTGAGCACAGATTCTATGCCTGTATCCACAAATCTTAGCACAGCACAAATGAATACCTTTTGTAATTAGTAATATACTGAATAAACAATAAAGGGAGATGAGTTAAACAGTCTCATCATCAGGTAACACAAACTTTTGCCATCAGATTGAATGGAGCTACAAGTCAGCCCAGGAAAACATGAGATTGATAAATTATGTGACCTTATCTATTTCAGCCCTCTCTTTACCTTGGAAGCACTAGATTAATACAGAAATGCTACCAGCCCTTTTGCATTACTCACTTGTGTTAATGTCAGATAAAGAACTTCCCATTTACCTTGTGGCTAGGGAAAACACAATTGTTTCTCCTCTTTAATCTATGTCAACAAATAGAACTGTTTCTGCATTTTTCTTAGGACTTAAATTATTAGAATATGGATTGAAAATTAAATATCAAGATCCCAGTCTTGGGATGTTACAGCCCTATTTACTCATTTTGAGTCTTCAATGTGTTGTTGGCTATGTTTAATACTTCATCATAATACACATAAATGTTTTGTCAAATATTATTTTGACTATTTTCTTCACTAGTAGTGATTAATAGTTTTACTTCTGATAACATGTTCAGTTATTCAAGCATGTAGGTTAAATATCATCTATTTTCTAAAAACAATATTAAAACCCATATCATCCTTAAACCCTATTCTATGAGTAGTAAAGAAAAAACTATAAAAAGACTGTCTATGTATTATTTCCTTATCATAGTAGGGTACTTTAAACAAATTACCAGCTGGGCGTGGTGGCTCATGCCTGTAATCTGAGCACTTTGGGAGGCTGAGGTGGGTGGATCATGAGGTCGAGAGATCGAGACCATCCTGGCTAACACAGTGAATCCCTGTCTCTACTAAAAATACAAAAAATTAGCCGGGCGTGGTGGCAGGCACCTGTGGTCCCAGCTACTCGGGAGGCTAAGGCAGGAGAATGGTGCGAACCCGGGAGGCGGAGCTTGCAGTGAGCCAAGATTGCACCAGTGCACTCCAGCCTGGGTGACAGAGCGAGACTCTGTCTCAATTAAAAAAAAAAAAAATTATCCTCTTGGAAGAAGAAATACTGTTACTAGGAAAATATTTTAACTCCAAGTTTTTACGTCAGTAACATTAAACTTATCTAAAAATCTCTGTCTCATGGCTGATACCCAGTTATTTATGCTAGATAAGATTTAGAAAACTAAAAATGCTTAATACATAAAATGCTTAATGCTTTTCTACAATAAGACAGAAAGGATGTGAGGAATATTTATATCTAAAATAAAGCTAGGTATTTCCATAGCTTACTCTAGCTATGGAAAATATTGATACCCAGTTTGCTAAGAGAGTGAATACCAATTTAAAAACCTTCCTCTTGGCTAAGAGTGCAATTATAGTGCCCTTCAACAGATAAATTTTATCAGACACTTACTATATGCCAGACACACTGCTATGGGCTTTACTCACATTATCATATTGAAACTCTGAGAGAAGCTCTGAGCAATGGAGTGATTTTCCCAAGGTGAATATCTAATAAGTGGTAGAGCAGGGATTCACACAATTCTGTCATTCTAGAACCCACATATACTCTTGAGGTGTTTTTTCCACTGTCTTTTTCCATAGTCTTTTTCTCTTTTCCTAACTTACTAGAGAGGAAAAGGGGCAGCAGGGCCAGAGGTATTGTCAGCTACACACAGGAAAGGAAGCAAGCCTTCATGCATTCATCATCTCGCTTAATGATCCTTGGCTGCACTAGTGCTAGCTCAGCTTTGGGAATGCCCATCGTGGACCTTGGGGGAGACATCTACGAATAGCAAGTGCTGATTCAGAGACATGAACAAAGTGACATTGGAGCATAAACAGAGGGAAAGCTAAGGAAGCCTAGGGAGAGAGAGTCCAGAAAAACCTCTGAGCTGTGTCTAAAAGAATCTTTCCAGGAAAAGAAAAAAGAAAGAGCACCTGCAACAGAACAAAAAAGCTATGCAAACAGGCTATGGGAAGTATGCCTATGTCTAGGTGAATGTAAGGTTGGTGTTGTAGAATGACAGGATTAAGTTGCAGGAGGTAGAATCATGCTCTAAAGAGCTACGTCAAAATAAGAAGTTTGGACTGTATTCTAAAGGCAACAAGAGCCAGCAGACACTTTGAACAGCAATGCTAAATGAGCTTTCATTATTTAGGAATATAATTGGCAGTCTTACGTTGGATGAGCAGGATACTTAGTCAAAATGCGAGCTAAGAAAGAATTCGACTTGGGTGGAAAGACAGCATTTTCCTGTTTTATTTCAGTCATTAGTAAATGTCACAGTAATCTAGCAGTTGCTCTAATGAAACGATCTGACCAAGATATGTAAATGACATACCCCTGTTGCTGCTCTAACAGAGAGTGAACATACATCCTGTTTCTTAAAAAGCCTTCCTTTATTTACTCATTCAACAAATAGTTATTAAGCTCCCACTATGTGGCAGGTACTATGCAAGGTTTCGGCGTGTTGTGTTAAGCACTGGTTGTGGCAAAATTCATTTGAAGCAACAAGTAGCAGGATTTGTTCATAAGGTCAACGAAAGCAGAAAAAAAAAAGACAGAAAATAAAGCAAGTGTCAAAGAAAGCAAGAAAACAAAGGGTAATTCCTAAGAGACAAAAAGTGAAAATGAGGTTTAAGTTTAAGAAAGCAAGCATCTGCTTTAAGTAACCATTTCATTAAAAGTGCACTAAATTGTGGAGGTTCTCTCTCAGGAACTGCATACTGTGAGCTGAGATTTAGTATAATGGGCTCCCACATGAATTCCTCTCATTACTTCTCTTGAAAGATCAGTAAATCTACTGAAAGGGTAATTTAGGTTTAGTGTTCACAATCTATTCTTTTTAACTTTTAATCTTTCCTGTTTAGGATGTTAAAAATATGATGTAGATAGAATCTAAAAGAGAAGAATTGGGCCCAAAATGAGACGATTTTAACTCCTCAAATGGTCTTGATATTGATAGCTATGCCACAGGCTGTAGAGTTTTTGCTTCTGATAGATGGTGATGTAACTTTGGCCAGTTTATAGAGCACTGCACACTGTTAATTTCAAGAACCAAGTAAAGGACAACATAGAAAAGATAATCTATATCTCGCTCTCCTGAATTCCTTGGACATTTTTGTAATTTTAATTACATCTCTTCTTTATCTGATTAAACTTATTTTTCACTGTAATTCCATGGAAACAAACAGGTTTGAGGAATTTTGTCCAGGAGATATATAAATAAATTATTTGGGAAGACAAAAGTCTGGAAAATGAGACTATCAGTTATTAATTACAGGAATGTGATTTTATGACATTTTTCAAAAATGTGAGCCTGAAAAATCACTTATAATCAGTACTTTTCTACTAAACTGCCACCAGTATGGTTTGTGATATTAAAAAACAAGCAAGCAAATAAAAAAAAAAGCCACAAAACAACATCAACAACAAAAGGCACTATCTTTCAGACAGTGCTATTTCCAGGAAAAAAAATCAAATCCTCCCTGATTTGTGAGGCCTCACCTTAGATTTACCTTTAGACATAGGTCCTATTCTGGGCCTGTAGTGTGCACAGCCATTCCTGATTAACTGAGTACCCCATTAAAAGACCTAAGAAATCCAGAGAGAAAGAAGCTAAAGTGGGCCCATCTTACCCACAGTGGCAAATATAAAAAAGCTCATTCATACAGTATTAAATTATATTGATTTGAAACTAAATTATTGTTTATTAACATTTAGAGTTTGCTTTTATTTCCCCATTTAAAAAAATCAAAGGTTTTAAAGTTGCTTTTTCTGATTTGAGAGAAGTAAGCACTTAGTCTAGTGAAGAAGAGAAGATGAATTCAGTTAGGATTTAAAAGTAGCAATTTATCCCAAAGAAATTAGCAGTGTAGGACATTTACTGGACAAATATCACATTCCTTGAAAGAATTCTTATGACATTTTAATGCATTCTCACTATGAAGCATGTCCTTGTAAATGACTAAACCAGACCATGTCTTAACAATTATTTCATGAGAGAAAACTTCAATACCCTCAGAAGTTCAGATTATAAGACTAACAGGAAGGCAAAAAGCAAAACACAACAGAAATTAAATACCAGAAAGAAATGATCTAAAACATAGTATATAGTAATTCACTGAAATAAATATTTATGATTTGAGTGATAAAAAGTTCACAATGACTTTGCACCCTTTCTATGAAAGCTAAGAGAAAAAGAAAATTCAAAAGATATCTGGAAATTTGTCTAGTTTTTATGATTTTCATAAAACCCATTGGTCTATCTCAAAATAAAGGCAAACAACTAAATTCTTAAATAATTATCAGGATACTGACTACTAAGAACAAACACATCACTTTTTAAAGGTCTGTAATCTGGGATGCCTCTCTATGACTTTCATTACATATTATTTCATGTGCTCAATTACTGTTAGAGAAAATTTTTGAGTTCTTTGATGTCATTTCAAGCAGCATGCATCTTATCTTATTCCAGTCATCGTTAGATTACAAAATGGAAACTGAAGGGAATATTGGAGTTTTGCTATGTCATTACCTGAAAAATAAAAACCTCCTGAGTTATTGTAAATATCAACCAGATCTTTACATGATCACGATAAAGGAAATCCATCTTTCCTGATAGAGTAAATTAAAGACAACACTAAGTAATGGAAGGTTTGTACCAGCCATTTTAAAGTATAGGAACATCACCTATCCCATGAACTAAAACATTTAAAAGATATCCTCCATGGTACTCATTGATCTCCCTAACTGCAGTTTTTCTTCAACTGTGTTCTAATCATCTTGCCCCCAACAAGAATCAGGTATTTGGAGCTTCCTTTGTGTTTTGTAACTGCACTGATTAACAAAGATTCAGGCTGACCCTGATCCATGATGGTAGTGGTTATGGGAGGAATATGTCTTTGTTAAGTAAAGACACATGGCTTTGGGACCAGCACTCTTTCAACTGAGCACTGTCTCATTCTGTTGCCTACAGTGTTCTTAGGAAAAGAGCTATTCAATAAAGTCACGAGATAATATTTTGATTGCTATCTTTTCACAATTCATTTCCCACAAGTTGCTGTTCCTTTCAATACGATTTTCTTGCCACAAAATACACCTGTCTCTGAATAGCAAAGCAACATTTTTGCTCACGGATTATTTCTCCTATACTTTTAAATATATGAGTTTGTGCATACTTAAATATTTTTAAATATCTTAGCTGCTAAATCATTATATGCAATATTAAATGTTCAACCCCTTTATTAGCAATTGTTAAAAACAAAACTTCTATGTGTTCCTTAAAAAAGGGCATGTTTGATTTCTGAATTGTTGTTAGATAAACTGTAAGGCCAAAAATGGGCCCTTTTACTGAATATGCAAAGTTCCCCCTTAAGCCACCTTGAACTAGGCAGATTTGCAACATTTTAAACTGGCACTTCATCCCTCTTTCAGCAAGCATCCTCTGCAGATTTAATGATCAGGAACATCCTTCTGATGCATGCTGGGAGATATGGCTGCAGGGTACAGACCACAGCAGACAGTGTGTCAGATGAGGCAGAACTTCTTGTTAGGGGTGAGTATGCTAATAGTGCAGTCTGAAGACATGATCACCATAAATTATCATACAAAGGAATTTAAATGCATGGACTTTGAGCACATCAGTACTGTGCATTTTACTTTCAATTTTACAATATATGTTATTTTCGCTTAACCTTTTGCCTTTGAAAAAATTACATGGAAAACTCCTCCTTAGTAACAGATGAAAACCACCAAACTAACTTCAGAGTCCAAAACACCTTTAGTAGTAAGTTGTCACTAAGTGTTTAACCTAATGCCAAGGAAATAATCTAAACAGTTGAGCTACTAAGTCACTTGGACTACAGAGATAAAATTTGTGTGTGTGTATATATGTTTTGCAAATGAAAAGCTAGTGGAACCCCCAGGCATTTTTTTCTTCTACTACTTCTAAGTTGGGCTTCCAAAAACAGAAAAACTGCATGTGTAAGATGGTGGCATTTGCAATTGTTAAGTGACAAGGATTTTTTTAAAGTCTGAAAATGTCAACATACAACCTCTCTATGCAGAAATGACAGTTAAATGGTTTCCAGTTATGAAACAGTACACCAAATTCTGCAATCCTAGGAAGCTACATCTTAAGCAAATGACTAGAGCACCCATTTCCTTTAGCACAGTATTCCACAGTATGGGAAATAGAGATCATAGCATGCATTTCCTTCCTTCTTTCCTTCCTTCTTTCTTCCCTGCCTCTTTCTTTCCTTTCCTCCTTCCTTCTTTCCTTTTAGCTTTGTTTGAAGTACAATATTTCTACATTTTCACCAATCATAAGCATACAGATGTATAACTTAATGAACAATGACAAAATAAACACACCATATAACTATCATTCAAAGTAAAAACCAGAACATTACCAAGATCCCACCAAGTACCTCTTCATTTTTCATCTTATACGATTATATTTTGAGTAGTATGAGTATTGCATGCTTAGATCCCTTGTATGGTCTGTACAGATAAAAACATTATCATCTATAGCAAGAAACTATATTTTAGATTAACTGGTCTTTTATTCATCTGGACTCTTACAATTTAAATATTAAAAATCTTGAACAGTAAACATAAGGCATAGAGTGAGCCTCATCATCTCTATGTTTTAGTTATATATATCACCGAATGTATATGGGTTTTGGTAGTGCATCCATCATTGGTTCAAGTAAAATGTTGTTTTTAAAGAAGTGTGTTATTGGGTGATTGGTAGTTTGTTCATTTTTTGTGTGTTTCTGTTCAGAAGGCTACTTGATCTTTTCTTCAAATTTATATCTAGCATGTATATCTGTGTTACCTTATTATAAAACACCAACTTTTTAAAGTATTCATCCTTTCAATACATTCTATTCCATTTAGCTAAAAATTTCTCTTTGTGCCTTCTGAAGTTACAAGACTCATGGAACTGCAAACCCTACACTCAGTCAAATTCATAGAAATTTGCTTTCTCTTGCTATGATCTGTTTTAGATTATGTATATTTATTGTCTGCACTTGCCTAGTAATTTAGAATGAAGCTCTTAAAATTGGAGCTTTCCAAATCAATATCACAATTTAGAGACTGATAAGAAACCAGGTATTTTTACTGGACTATAGGGGGTAAATTTAAGTGGCAAACTAACATTCTGCTTTGTAAGTAAAATTAAACTCAACAGGGTTTAGAATATAATTCAGGTTCAGCTTTCATGTTCTGCTCTTTTAGCCTTTGGCTTTATGCCTAGGAGATGATAAAATGCATAAATTTTCGGATTATACCCAATAGCAATTTCAAACAGGTTGCTATTGTCTGAATATTCATGTAACATTCAGCCCAAGCTTTCACTTGAAGTGAGTTTGATCAAGTCACCACTTTTCTATTATATATTTGCATTACTTTTCTAAAATTAGTAAAAATATCTTGTCATTTCTTCCTGGTGAGTTTTAGACAGATTTAAACACTGAACTAAGAGTTCTGGTTCTCTTTTAAAAAATTTTGTAAGTTTACAGCTCCTGGTAATTCAACAAGCTTTGATGTTTGAATATTGCTGTTTTTAATGTTGGCTTGCGAAATAAAATTTGAAATAGTTTTACTCTGCCAGTCTCCCTTCTCACACTCCTCCATTTGTTGGTCTGTAAACTCATGGTATTCTAATAGTATATGCCACAGGACCAAAGTTGAGCATTCTAGATGGAGCTTTTCTGATGATGGCTACAATTCTGGCAGCAGAATACTTAAAGCACAATTATTCAAATATGTGTCACAGAGAGATGGGAATATTAAAAACAATTTCCCCATTCATCTTTTAGTAGAATACTAAAAGTAGATTGGCTGAGCAGTTCACTTTGCTCAATGTCTTCATCACAAGGAACGTACTTGGATGGCAAGGATTATGTTCTTATGATTCTATTTCAGTGGAAATTTAAGGGAAAAAATCTATGTTCTCTTTGATGGACGGGAACAACTTTTTTATTGTCTTCCTTCCCATGAGAGATAGTCTATAAAATTATTTTATACATTTTACCAAATCCTGCAATTCTTCAACCTTGCCGCTCATGAACACTAAATTGGAGCACAGGTGTGTAGCCACATGGCCTCATCATTGCCTATTTAGAATCTGAGTGTTTCTGAGTAGTAATGTTCCCTGATACTCTCCCCATTCACTACTTTAAGGACTATTTTTTCCTCAACTGCTCGTTTGCACTTTCTCCTCATTTTGCTTGTGAATGTCAGTGCCATTATTCACCTCTATTCCACCATGATCACCTTTCTCCAAAGATTGCTTTTTTCGTAAATAATTACCTGAAGCATAAAGTCACTTGCTTTCCCAAATTTAATATTCAGTGAACCAGCATTATCACAGCACCATGCATAATCTGGAGAACCATAATAGAATGAATATGTTAGAAAAAATTATTTTGCTGAAATATAAAAGGAAATTAAAGCCACACCTGGACATCTGTGCACCATTTTAGTCACTTAAGTGTGCTATAACAATAGAGAAAGCATGACTAAATACTGCTATAGGGAACCTTTTTAAAGATGAGTAGAACTCGATCATGCTATTAAGGAAAGGGAGGTAGATATGTAAGAGATAATCTCACTGAGGAGGATATACAAATTGTTAAGAACCAGTATTCCCAGACAATATCAGAAGTGATCAAACACAAAGTAAAAGACTCTGGAGAAAGGAATATTAGTTTTTTGTTATTTTATTTTATAGAAATTAATGTTAGAAGTATGTTTTCTAAAGTAATTATAAGGGTAGGAAACTAAAGAATAATATGTGCTTAGCTAAACTAGGGTAACTAGGAGTGATAGCACTATCTTTCTATTCAGAAGAAGTGATAAAAATTCACTTTCTCATACAACTTCTCTATTTGTATTACTCTGCTTCTTAGTACAAAACAGTAGGTCAAGAAACTTTGGGAATAGTCAAAGAATAATCAATAATCTCTCGAGTCCTTCTGAATACACAGCCTTTCCTCAAACTTGAACAATTTTCACTTCCTGAATTACAACTTACATGATGAATCCAAAGTGTATTAATAGTTGAATTTGAAACGAATGAATTAAGCTCAGGATGTCACTTGTTGGGAGACATCTAACTGCTTTCAACCATCCACCTTGAACCCCACCCTATCACTTCCTATTGCTAACAGATTTCAACCTGTCTTTCAATTGAACTTCCTTCATCTGTCCAATCAATTCAGTTCCATTTATTATTTCCAATAATTATTTATTTCCTTGAATATCTAACTTTACTCTCTCCCAACTCAACCACTTTTCACTGCAAAAGTAAAATCATTAAAATTTTGGCCGTTTTGTCAATAAAATAAGTCTACAGGTATTTGCTTATAATTTGCTATTCATTTGTTCACCCACCTATTCATTCAGCACCTGCTCTGTGTCGGGCACTGAAGTCGGCACTCAGAGTGGAGAGATGAGGAAGCTGAGGTCTCAGCCCTCGGCTGGCTCTACATCCTCTAGTCCTCCAGTGTGAGATGCCTTTGGAATTAGGGTGAGGTGTACCATGGAAGTTCACCTGCGTACATTCTCAGTGTCACAGAGGAAATAGTGAGAGACTAAGATAAAACATAAGCAGAGCTGTGGGGCTGGATATGTAATCTGTGAAGAACAATGCCAAATGGAAACACAGGACCCCTTGTTCAAAATTATTAATAATTTCAAGACAGTGACAGAAAGGCATTAATCTAAGCACAGGGCCCCGAACTTGCAAGTTCGCAGATCTTGAACTACACAGCTCACACACCAAGGAAGCTAGCGCTAACTAATTATATATTCATCTACAGAAATAAAAGCATGTTAGCAAACAGAGGGGGCAAATCACAACAAAGTAAGGTTTTTTCATCTATAAAATTAGAATATCAAAGCCTACATCAGCAGTTTATTAGCTTTTTACACACACACACAAAATATTTATTTTACCCCATGAGTCATATGTTGAAAGATTTTGTTCGTTGTGTTGATGTAATCACTAATTTATGTTTCTATTTGAATTCCAGCCAAAGCCTTCTATCATCATAAGATAGATAATGTTACCAAACTATATAATTTAATTCCAGCCAACATCAAAGCTGACTTACCTTTTAGCTAGTTGTAAAGTATTATTGGTTTGTTTGTTTCAAATGGTTGAAAGTAACCTGAAGACACCAGTTTTTACCTGGATAGAAACTAATTTAGGAATCTTTGATTAAATATCTCCAAATTCTGTCCAAGTGCTAATCTTTAGTGATTCTCACTAGCAAGAGAGAAAAGTTTGACTTTTCTGCCTATACCCTTGGAAAAGATGCAAGTACTATCACTTTCCCAAATGCAATGGGAAAATAAAGCTCAGTGAAAACCTTGAGCATGTTTCTAATATATTGTTAGTTTATTTGAGAGTTAAAGCAGTATTAATGTGCTGTATCTTCACATCTCTCACTGCACTACCCTTGTGATCCAATTAGATTCTAAATTGATGTAAATGTCTATTTTTAGCATATGGCCACTTCTGAATGTTTCCAAGCTTTAAAATGCACAAATACTCAACACAAACATCTTTGGAGCATAGAGGTTGCGTAGTTTTCCTTTTCCACCATTGATCTAATATGTAAGAGCCTATTGTGCTTGGAGAGTGCATAAGCCTTCACATGGTTGAGTAATGATTTGAACGCAAGAGAGTCTCCAGTGAAAAAGACAAAATCCAGTAGTTATGAAAAACAAAGCTTGTTTTGCTAATATGCTGGTATTTGGAGTCAAAAAGACAATGACAAATGTTTTCAGTATAACTTTTTAATCCTAGTTAATATTAATACTAAATACATTTGCAAATAATATTTTAGAGAAGAATAAAATTTATTCAGCTAACATAATTATTTTTCAATATTTTTGAAAACTATAAAACACAGCTATAAAATGTCCTTCCTCTTAAAGAAAAGCTAATTTCATTCACGCTATCTCTTATTGGAATATTCTGCACTATTGTAGAAATATTAGATCACTATTATTGCTATTATTGTATGGGATTATTTAAATAGCTTATACCAATCACTTTTCTATCTTAGACTTTCTCTAATTAGTGTGATTGACACTTATAAAATTTCTTTTAGACACTGAAAAGCAGTTGTTTCTTTTCTCTTATGCTTTTCATATGGTTGCTTGCTAACCTGTAGAACTCTTAAACTGACAAAAAAGTAACATTTTTTTGTCAGTCAGATGTTCAGATTTTCTGCACCAGCTTTAGTTTGGCTCATTGAAATAATAGTTACCTGAAGTGATCTGACTGGCCAAAATGATTAAAGCAGTTTGCATGCATGTACATATATATCTGCAAATATGAAATGAGCAAACAGATGAATTGTCATTGCACACAGACAACCAATCAATACAAACTAAATCTCTTGTATTTTATTCCCCCAAATACTGAGTGCCTGCCAAAAGCCAGACTCTTTTAGGCACTGATATCTCCGTCAACTGACTGAGACATTCTCAGGTTTCTTGATGGGAGTATTTTGCCATTTTGAAACAAATATTCTGACTTCACTCTTCAAATTTGAGAAAAGTTCTAATCAACTGAGTTTTATGTAATACACATTTGGATTTATAAATTGTAAGATGAAATTGTATTTCACTATATTTTGTCCCACAGACTTAACCTATGTTTCTTACACATCCATCCTAATATAAAAATACAGTCACTTCACATCTGTGTAAGTTTGTGGAGATAAATTCTTAGTGTGTGGGCTTGTATTTTAAAATCCAATTTCATTCACTATTTAGTGAGTGCTTACCACATGCCAGGACAGTTCTAGAGTGCGAGAGGGAGACACGGTGGGACAGGATTGGAATAAATGCTTTCTGATGCTATGGGAAGGAGTTTAACTCTTATGCTACAAGTGATGCATATCCATCAAAGGATCACAGCAGGAAAGGGACAGGATAAGATGTGTCTTTAAAAAGACCATTCAGGAAAATGTTGAGTGTTTTAGAGGACACTGTGACTAGTGGCTTGCTAATAAAGCAGATGGGACAATAACGGTAATCTTGACAAGAAATAAGAAGGGTCTTATAAAAGGCAATAATAGAGACAGGAAGGGGTGTGTATATATTCAAAAGATAGGAAGGAGGCAGGATCTATAGAACTTGATGGCCCACTGGTTATGTAAAATGAGAACGAGAAGGCAAAGAAGATTGCCAATTGCAATGCTTGAGTGGCCCATCAGAGGGACACCGTATACTCTAGTTAGTTAGACTAACAGAGTTCCAAGTTATACTTAGAGTGTCAAAGTAGTTATTAATGAGGCCCCTTTATCCTCAAAATTGTCCTGGTTTAGAAGATAAATTTTGTGGTCCCCTAATAGAGAATGATCATGCAATCATAGTCATTCATGATCACGTTTATATAATCAGAAAGATGTGGAGATAAGTGGATTTGTAGTAAAGGAATAACATTTAGGGTTCTCCATTCTATTCTATTCTAAGCAAATAGTTGTGTAGCTGTGGAGCTCAGGAGAGAAACACTGGCCTTGACATCCAGATTTGAGCATTGTTCACATTTTAAAGTCGGGTGGGAATTAAATTAAAGAGCCTGTGAAGGCCAGGCACAGTGGCTCACACCTGTATTCCCAGCATTTTGGAAGGCAAGGTGGGCAGATCACTTGAGGTCAGGAGATCGAGACCAGCCTGGCCAACATGGGGAAACCCTGTCTTTACTAAAAATACAAAAATTATCTGGGCATGGTGGTGCACACCTGTAGTCCCAGCTCCTCAGTAGGCTGAGGCAGTAGAATTGCTTGAACCTGGGAGGGGGAGGTTGCAGTGAGCCGAGATTGCATCACTGCACTCCAGCCTGGCCAACAGAGTGAGACTGTCTCAAAAAAAACAAAAAACAAAACAAAGAGTCTGTGAAGCATAGGAAGGGGAAAATGCTGGAATGGAATGCTGAGAAACATTAACTTTGAAGAGGAAGAGGAATTTGAAAAGGAGATGTGAAGTTGCTGTCAGAGACCAAGAGCTACTGTGTGAAAACCCAAGTAAATATAAATCATGGGGACAAAGAGACAAGAGAAATAGAGGAAGGAGAAAATGGACAACAGTGTCAAAACCAAGTGAAATACGAACCAATTCACATATCAGTGAATTAAGAAACTTGGAAGTAAATGATGGCCTTGGCAAGGGCAAGTTCAGAGGAATGATGGGTGTAATAACCAAATTATGGTAGATGGAGAGATGCAAGCAATTATGTGTGAAAGGTAGCGCAGAATCTTAAGAAAATCCTTGGCTTTTAAGTCCAACAGACTGGGTCACATACCCACAAGCTCTTACTAGTTGTGAAACTTTGTGTAAGTCATTTAATGTTAACCTTGTTATCCCTTCGTTCATTCAGTACTTACTCATCAAACATTTATAGAGCACATAGTATGTGGCAGGCATCGAGCTATGATCTAGCTAAACATGAACAACTTTATTTTAGGGAAAAACACATCTTTTTACAGCATAATGTGAGATGTGCTGTTACCCATGTATGAGCAGCACATTTTGCTCTCTGACCATCAGCTTCATTACTAATAATAAACATAGCTAACATTTATCAGGTTCTTCCTATATGTCGGGCACTGCACTAAAGGCTCCATATTATAATAATTATTTCACTTTATTTAGCATATCACATAAAAACAATATGAAAAACGTACTATTTTTAGTTCCATTTTGAAGATAAGGAAGTCATAGAGAGGTTTAAGAATGTCACTTAAACCTCTCTATGTTAAACCACAAAATGTTTGAATGTCACTAACAAGTAGAAGAATAGTGAGTAGACTCCAGGCAGACCAGCATTTTAAATTACTATACTGCCTTCCACTGTCAATTGCCAGATTGTTTCAATTTCATTGATCATGATATCCCCTAGAACCATTTAGTTTCTGATACACTATAGTTCCTGAAAAATAATACATGTTTGTGGAAGGGAAGAAAAAAAGGAAAAAGAGAGAGGTAGGGAAAGAGTAGGGTAAAAGGGAGGAAGAAAGAAAGGAGTACTGTAAGAAACAAGAGAATGGCGTGACAAACTTTGCCTAGGAGTCAGAGAATTTCTATCAAGATGATATACTCACCGCAACTTAAGGATTTGTTGTCATTTGGTAGCCCAAGAAAGAATGAAGATATTCTACATTAGCTTGTAAAGACAGCACTTTGTCATTACCATCTATCTCTAAGGATAGGTCTCACATTCACAAATCCTCTAAAAGTAACTAATCTTTGACCACATGACCATGAGACAATAGTATTAGTAATGACTTTCTATGTTACACCTTGGCCTAAATGACCACAAACCTTACTGAAAAGTCTGAACTTCCTCTGATGGCCCATATCTTGCCATGCATCCAAAATAGTAAATTCTACTGACTACTTCCTCAGAACATCTTGTGGGACTTCTTATCTAGGTGCCATGGGTTTTGCTAGAAAGGAAGAACTTCGTTGCCATTGCTTTTGGTGTTTTAGTCAAAAAGTCTTTGCCCATGCCCAGATGGGATCTAATTAAACTAAAGAGCTTCTGCAAAGCAAAAGAAACTATCATCAGAGTGAACAGACAACCTACAGAATGGGATAAAATTTTTGCAATCTGTCCATCTGACAAAGGGCTAATATCCAGAATCTACAAGAAACTTAAACAAATTTACAAGAAAAAAACAACCCCATCAAAAAGTGGGCAAAGGATATGGACGCTTCTCAAAAGAAGATATTTATGCAGCCAACAAACATGAAAAAAAGCTCATCGTCACTGGTCAATAAAGAAATGCAAATCAAAACCACAATGAGATACCATCTCATGCCAGTTAGAATGGTGGTCATTAAAAAGTCAGGAAACAAAAGATGCTGGAGAGGATATGGAGAAACAGGGACACTTTTACACTGTTGGTGGGAGTGTAAATTAGTTCAACCATTGTAGAAGACAGTGTGGTGATTCTGCAAGGATTTAGAACCAGAAATACCGTTTGACCCAGCAATCCCATCACTGGGTATATACCCAAAGGATTATAAATCATTCTACTATAAAGACACATGCACATGTATGTTTATTGCAGCACTAGTCACAATTGCAAAGACTTGGAACCAACCCAAATGCCCATCGATGATAGACTTGATAAAGAAAATGTGGCATATATACACCATGGAATACTATACAGCCGTAAAAAAAGATGAGTTCATGTCTTTGCAGGGACATGGATGAAGCTGGAAACCTTATTCTCAGCTAACTAACACAAGAACAGAAAACCAAACACCACATGTTCTCACTCATAAGTGGGAATTGAACAATGAGAACACATGGACACAGGGAGGGGAACATTCACACATCAGGGCCTGCCAGCAGGGTGGGGGTGGTTGGGGGCTAGGGGAGGGATAGCATTAGGAAAAATACCTAATGTAGATGACAGGTTGACGGGTGCAGCAAACCACCATGGCATGTGTATACCTATGTAACAAACCTACACATTCTGCACATGTATCCCAGAATTTAAAAAAAAAAAAAAAAAAAAAAAAAGAAGAAGAAGGACTTCTAAATAAAATGCCACCAGGAAAACTGAGCACCGATAGACTTCTTTCTGCATAATCTCTTCTCATTCTCTCATTTTTAAATTTTTTGCAATTGCCCCAATTCTGGGGCAAAACCAAAACTCCCACATGCCTGAAAATGTGCCTGACCATTCCCATTGCTAAAATTCTTTAACTCTTTGATATTTGTTGTTTTTGCCTACTTATCTGTAAATTATACCAAGTGTCATGAAAACAAAACAAAATGGCCTTTAATGTTAAAAAAGATGGTCTTAAACTCACAAATATTAAGCAAAATATTGGAAGTACATTGTATCTGTTCATTTGTTTGAATTGTTTGGAAAAATCATCCCATTTATTTATATATTTTGTACAGACACATCTAAAATCAGACTTTTTTTTCTGAACGCATTCTGTTTCCTGTGACTGTCACCTAGACTGCTTTGGCGTGCCTTTTGAATACTGAGTAGTAATTTACTGTCATGTGATGTAGGAGATCAGTCAGAGTGATGGAGAAACTATAGGGAAAGGAGCAGGCCTTCTGAAAGGTTGGAAGGCTCTGCATAGCTTCAGGGAGAATAGCTGAAGGCAGCTGTTCTCTGACCCTGAGGCAGAGGGCGAGGAGTATGCTGAGGGAGGAGGAGGCGGTAAGGTAGATGATGGTTCTTCCTCCCCTCCCTTTTTAGGCTCTTCCGTGTAGAGCAGGGCCAAAGCAGCCCTAACTAAGGCCCATAATGTTAAAGATATTACTGGGACCCATTGCCCTTGTACATTATGTCTTTTAAGATTTCTTCCCACTTGTTCCCAGAGCTCTAGGTCTAGTGTGCCTTCTTCTGGGAACCATGGGTTATGGAAAAACAACAGTTTGCATTAGGTCGCTTAATTGGGCTTCAGAGACCAAGGCTCTGCTAGCTTTAAGCAGCTGTTTCAATACTTTTATATACTGTTGTCCCATGATGAATGCCCTCGAACTTGGAAATCCCCAGTGGGTACCAATTACTTACTGCCCACTCACTTCACTTTCGTTTTTTGAGGGTTCCGTCACAATCCATTGCAGCATTCCTCACATGGGGCACCACCTGCCAGGTCTGTCCCACAGACCCTGGCCTACGAATGAAATGAGTACTCAGACACAGGTATGCAGTGTAAGAGCAGCTAGGTGATTGCCTGACTCTAGTGGCCAGAGAGGAGCCCTGAGAAGCTGGAGCTGCTTGCTTTTATTCAGTGCAGGCACAATGCCAAAAACCTGGAGTCCATATAACCTGTAGGTAATTAACATTTATTTTTCCCTGTTCAGGGAACATCACGTGCACGGATGATCAAAGGTCAATTCCTAGTCAACATAAATAAACAAGGCTGTTTAAGATAAATTCCCCCACACTCCCTTGTACCTACTCCTTCTTTAAGCACTCACTCATTGGGGCAGCGTTAAGTCCAGTCCTGCACTCCCAGAGCTGGCTGCTCTGAGAGAGAGGACTGTGGGCCTTCCATCTGACCGAGGAAAGCCGCTGGCATTGCCCCAGTTTGGAACAGGACATGGAGGCTGGCCCCTCATGAAGTTTCCCGCCTGACTGCTTAGGGGATTGCCATTTTTATCAAATTTTGACTTGCAGAGATTTGCCCAATGTTTCCCCTTTTTACATTGGGGGCATATAAAAGGGGGTTCTTTTCCTGAGTGACTTTGGTCTTTACTATTGGGGCATTCCTGCTTCACATGACCTGGCTCTCAGCATAGAAAACAATTTGGGTTTTTCTCCCATTTCACTTTAGGAGGCTTTAATGCCACAGCCAATATCTGGCTTTGTGTGTTTCAGTCTCCACTAGCTGACATGCTCCTATAAGTTCCCCGACTGTAGCTGCCTTTCCTCTGATTGCCTGCATTGCCTTCAGCTATTCTCCCCCGAAGCTATGCAGAGCCTTCTGGCCTTTCAGAAGGCCTGCTCCTTTCCCTATAGTTTCTCTCACCTCTCTCACTGATCTCCTACAATTGTAAAGCCTGGAATGTACAGCCTTTTAGGGAATATACACTTCATATGGCCTGTTTTTGACAACCCAAATGTGGTCACCAAGAAAGAACTCCGCTGGGCGCGGTGGCTCACGCCTGTAATCCCAGCACTTTGGGAGGCCAAGGCGGGTGGATCACGAGGTCAGAAGATGGAGACAATCCTGGCTAACACAGTGAAACCCCGTCTCTACTAAAAATACAAAAAATTAGCCAGGTGTGGTGGTGGGCGCCTCTAGTCCCAGCTACTGGGGAGGCTGAGGCAGGAGAATGGCGTGAACCCGGGAGGCAGAGCTTGCAGTGAGCCGAGATCACAGCACTGCACTCCAGCCTGGGCGACAGAGCAAGACTCCGTCTCAAAAAAAAAAAAAAAAAAAAGAAAAGAAAGAATTCAAGTTCCAAGTAGAAGTTACTCTGAAAGGCAACCCACTGACTGACTGGTCACATCTCCTAAGAAGACAAAAGTAAAATTGGTAAGTTCACTCTAGTCTCTATTCCCCAATCGTACTTTATTTCAGTCTGTGTTCCAAAATACTAAATTCTTAATTATTTTCTTGATTTGGTGTAACACTACATACGATGTAGTCTGGTCCCAGAATGCTTCTTCACTGAACAATACAAAATCCATGCAGATTGAACAGAGGAAGGACTAGCGTTAATTGGAAGAAACTTTTGCTGACTTTTACTGCAGATTGAATTTTGTCCTCCCAAACACCTGGCAAAGGTAATGTCTCCGTTTCACTAAGTACTCCTTAATTTGGAATTACAAAGACGATTAGCTCTCTAATGAGTTACAGCAAGTGAGGTGAAAGAGTAGGGGAAAAAAACTGAACACCAGATGATTCTTTTTAATGCCAAGAAAAAAAAGGCTTTTTCTTGGTTAAAAATCTTTTAAATAAATTTCTCTCCTCTTTCATTTTACAAAACTAAAATATATAAATATTATTGCTTAGTATGTATGGGAAAAATCTGATTTCATAGAACATTACATGTAAAGATTGGCTGTCATGAGTACATAGGTCTCTACTCTGTATTATTGATTGAGTATATCAGTAAATTTACCTTTAGAAACTTATGAATCTGCTGGGGTACCTAACAAATTAGGAAGATGGGAAAAATAGTTCCTAGCTTTAGAAAAAACAGTTCATTATGAAAGAAACCTCTACAAGATTCAAAATGGGTAGGCATTGTAAAGATGAGATATAAAGGGTAATTCTCAGGTTATTTATGGGAGTGGAAAAGTAAAGGTGCATAAATTCAAGGTGAGCAAAAAGTAGTGGAGAAAAGGTCTGCTTGTATCTTTGCTGCAAATGTAGAATCAAGGTCTTTGGATTACCAGAACATTTAGCACTGGGTTTAGTCTATTGCTGATACTTACTTAGTAAATATTAGTTGAATTTCAGTAGTTTAATTAAAAAATGACTCAAAATTTTTAAAATGCCTGATAATCTGTTTACCCAACCAATCAGTATAGCATTAGAAAAATAACCCAGGATGGGATTTTATTCTCACTCTGGCACTAACTAAATAATCAGGCAAGTCATCCTACCTCTTTTGGACTTAATCTCCTCACTTGTCAAAAAAAAAAAAAAAAAAAAAAGGAGAAAGAAGAAGGAGAAGGCGAAAGAGAAGAGGGAAAAGGAGGAGAAGCAGAAGCAGCAGCAGCAGGAGGAGGAGAAGGGGGAAGAGGAGGAGGGGGTAGAAGAGGAGGAGGAGGAGGGGGAAGAAGAGGAGGAGGAAGAAAGAGGAGAGGAAAAAGAAGAAGAAGAAGAGGGGAAAATAATATTTAATTTTCTGGTTTACATAAAAGAATGAAATGAGGTTACAAACAGTAAATTGGTTTTTGGTAACTGGTAGATATTGTTGATATTCTCAAATCTAGGAAGAATTTCCATGTCCCTTATCTTTAAGATTAAATAGCTGAACCATTGTTCTTTATGGTATTCATAGGAGGGAAATAGTCTATATTTCTCCAATAGGTGATCTAAGCTCATTATCTATTGACAGAAATATCCAATAATATTCTGATTGTTGTGTCCATCTTATTTAATTACAATTTGATAATACATTCTAATGGTGATAGAGTACATTTTGACTACCTCTCCTTCCTCAGGCATTTGAATACTGAACATGTCTCAGATTGGCACGTTGATAGGCTTGGCATAATTGGGTTCTCTGTCAGTTTGCTGTCATTAGGATGAGCTGTGAATCACCATTAGGGCCATCTCAGTATATTCAGTTAACTGAGCTGATGAAATCTTGCATTCGTTTCCTGAAGTTGGTTGCACATATTAACATCTATTTATATTATTAAATATTCCATTGTGTTGACATCCATCCTTGAGCAAAATTGTAATGGATATCTTAGTTTACAGAAGGACTTTTCATGTGTGAAGTAAACACTGAAGAGCTTCAAGTGTAGTTAAACAAAATCACCAAGAAGATATAATTGAGTAAAAAGAAAGTTAAATATATAAATTATATTTCATTCTAGATAATATGTGTAGACCACGTCATATTTAGAGGTCATAGTTCAAGGGTACTGCTTTCATATCAGTGATAATCATCACTATATGCCTATGTAATAGTCATCAGGTTTATATCACATAAAATAAGAAATAAATATTTATTATAAAATGGAGCTAAATCACAGTATTCAATATTTATAAAATGTAAATATGCATTCTGTTAATGTTTACATAGGACTTTGCCATACCTTCAGTTGACAGTAAAGCAATGCAAAAATTATAATAAAGAGTAGAAAGCCTTTCAAAACACCACCAATGACACTAAAAGATTTGAAAATAATTGCAAAGTAGAATAATCAAATAAAATAGTCAGATTTTTTAAACAATAAAACCGAATAGTGTGAATGACTTTCAAGTTATTCTAGAATTGTCTTTAACTGTAAAACATTCTAGGACAAACATACAAAATCTCAAGAAAAGGAAATATTTTGCAAGTTACATAGGGTAATTATACTGAAGTGTCAGCATTCTCATTTGTCAGCACTCTGATTTGGTTAATTTAAATGTTCATTAATCACAAAAAAAGAATGGCATAAAACAAGCCTGCTTGAATTATATGTTTTGCTCAAGAGGTTATTGATTCATATAATTATTTCTTTCATACTAACTCAAGAAATAGAACTGTTATTAGTAAACTTCATTTGAAATACTTAATCACTGTTGCAAAGATGTTTTATCACCTGATCTGTATGAATCAGTAAATCAAAGCTCACATATTTGTTTCAAAACTTCAGCTCACAGATGTTAAGTCAAGATAATAAGCAGCATCAATCATACCTCACTGAACAAGATAGTCTGCATTACAGACACTCTCCCTGTAATCCATCCATTATATGGAACATCTGTTACAAATTATCAACACCCCGCCCCACACCCCCCGACCCCCGCCAGGGACTGCTCTATTTAAGTGCTTCTGCAATAACCCACTGTCTCCATTTCTCCAAATGAGTTAGATGGTGGCATCGGGATAGTACCAAGTTCACTGTCACCGTATGACAGCAGTCATCTTTCAGTCTGTGCTGAACTCCAATGGCACACTGCATAATGGTAAATGTTCTTCCTACAGTTGTATAGCAGAAATCCTCAGAGCATAAGCTAGTAGCCATCAGGAAACCACTGACAGTTCTTTCTCCACTATATATCAGTCATTGCCTAAGTTAAGCACTTAGTGTGTAATATTCATTGTTTTTCAAGTCCTTAGGAGAATATTGATTTGCTCATTTAGTTAAATATAAAATTAATGAGCCCAGATACATGTTTGTCAACTTTGGCTTATTTCCATGATCATGAAACATGTCTTGTAGAACATGTTGGTTTCCAGAAAAATCATGAGAATCTAAATAAATAAAGCAAGTACAAATTTATACTGCAGAAGAAGAATATTTTTTAAAGTGCCCTAGAGTTTACCCATATATTGTCAAGGTTGCACCTGTCTTAAAGAGAATGACTTTATAAATGTGTTGTCCTAGTGTGTCATTGGAAATAACAATTTCAAATTTACTCTGTGATAGGTTTGTGAAAATAAGTTACAAGGATATCTATTAATCATTAATAAGTGAATAGTGAGACTGAACAAATGTAAAAGTCCATATAGCCACACTTTATTTTCTTGATGTTAGTCTGCATTGCAGAATTCTAATGACACATACACAGTAAACCCAATATTGGATTTATAGAAAACTTTGTACAAACATGGTACTTTCCATATTTTAGCACCTCATATGGTATTTTCCTACAGGATTTCATTAGCTCATCTGTTCTTAGTGTTTATGCAATAGTAGTTTAATAAATAAATTTCAGGATAGCATCTAGGTTGCGTGAAGTTTTAAATAAACAAGTTACCTATTTGTAATTATTCGTACCAGTTTGTAAAAATACATCCTAAAATATCTGTTTTCCATTTCAGGATCACCTTCGATGGATGGACAGCATTACTTTTATAGTGGACTATATAAAGTGTCTACAAGTGTCTACAACTTCAACTCATGTAAAACTACATTAAATATTTATGCCTACTTTACTGCCTGGAAATCTTGATTAATTTACCTTTCACCTGAAGTTTGTGATAACTGACCAGGAAGTGTTTGTTTTTATAAAAAGGAAAAAACATTATTAAATAAACTTTTAAACATAGTGCTCTAGGGAGTCTTACGTTGGCAATTAAAAGCTTCAGCCAAAAATGACACAAGTCCTTTTGGCTCACAACTCACTAGTCTGAACCTATTACAGAGCTACATACAAAATGAAGGCATCAGAGTTCAAGTCTTCAAACGACAATCACATATTCACAAATTATACTTATCAGGATCAATGTCATTAAATTTCTTTGTATAAGGCTTGTGTGGGGAAAGGATGGTTTAATTTTTGCTTTTGCTTACAATGCAAATGGAAAAATAATCATGCTCTAAGTAAGACCGCAAGAGACCAGCATGCAAAGGATCCTCAGAAACTATCACTGTCATTGAAACCATGCTGACAGAATCTACTGAAAAAGTAACTGCCTGAAGCATCACAATTTACATTTGTTACAAAACCTTACTGCTAAGAAAAAATACTCATATGTTTTTAATGATTTAGATTTTCCCCAAAACAGTCCTACAGCCTTTGAGAGCTTTCATCAAATGTTTGCCTTATCGTTTCAATGGCTTCTTTCTTTGGACTTCTCTCATATGCTATCCAGTGGCTTCTGATTCACACTCAAAATAAAATCCAAGTTCCTTGCTATTGCCTTCTAATCCCTGTATAAACTGGCACTTGCTAATCTTTCTGACATTATCACCTCCACTCTCCTCTTGCTTTGCTATGCTCCAATTGCCATACTCATTAACACTTACAAATTTTGCCATTGCTGTTCTCTGCCTGGAAAACTCTTGCCCATATTGTTTATGTGGCTGGCTGGCTCCTTCTTATTTATTTCTCAACTCCCTATCAAATGTTGCCTACCTCTTCCCCATCCAATTTTCACCACTTTTTTTTCTTCATTGCGTTTGTTACTATCTGAAATTATCTTTCACTTGTTTATTGACTTTCTTCTCTTTAAAAGTCATAAGCAGTCACCTTCCCTATCTTGTTTACTACCTTAACCTGAGAAAAGTGGTTTAATTGGCTCACAGTTCCACAGGCTGTACAGGAAGTATGGCTGAGGAGGCCTCAGGAAACTTACAATCATGGTGGAATGCAAAAGGGAAGCAGGCACATCTTACATGGCCAGAGCAGGAGTAAGAGAGTGATGGCGGTGCTGCTACACACTTGTAAACAACCAGATCTCAGGAGAACTCACCACCACGACAGCACCAAGGGGGATGGTGTTAAACCATGAGAAATTGCCTGCATGATCCAGTCACCTCCTACCAGACCCTACGTCCAACAATAGGGATTACAATTTGACATGAGATTTGGGTGAGGACACAGATCTAAACCAGATTAACTATACAAATGAATGAATATGTAACCCCTTTTCCCCAAAGAGACTAATTACATTTTTAAAAATCAGACAAAGGAGGAAACATGGAAAGAACATGGAGCAGTCATTGAATAAACAATAATCATAGGCATTTAATATTAAATGTATTGTCATGTCTGATAACTTGTCAATAAGACAGACCAGCAGATACCGCGAAATAAAAGGGTAAGATACCTGAGAATGGTGTGGTAGGAGAGGGTTTTTAGGAATTCCCTTTGAAGCTTGGCACTTCCACCTCTGTAATCCTTCAGAATTTTCTCACGCTGCATCCTACTTTCCACCTCACCCTGTTCTTTGTAGTGTGCACGTGCGTGTGCACACACAGACACACACATATACACTCACTCCCACAAGAAACATGATCCAAATATTAAAAATTAAATGCAGATAGCAAAGAACGATTCAGATGCTGAATTCTGGCTACAGGGAGTGTATAGCAAAGAAATTAGAAAATCTAAACCAAAGGCTTCAGTGTTCACTGACATTTTATGTGCAAGAGGGGAGTTGCTATACTATCAGTTGATACATCAACCAGCTGAAGACCTTAAAATCTTGCCCAATTTGCAGCTACAGTGGCCCTAACTTGTGGCCTAGAAGCCCTGCCATGTATACCTTGATCTCCACCTTGGGACAGGAAACCTCTGACAACAGCTTCTTTAATCTACTTCATCAGGTGCTGCTTCTCATTTATGGAGCCTTGCCCTGAGTGTCACATAGATTCCATTTAATTTGTGTGGTCACCAGCTACACCTAATTAAATTCCTACCTGAAACTGCTGACTTCCATGATACCTCTCATGCCAACTTTTAAACTCAATTACTTCTGTTTCTGCACATGAGCAAACCATAAGGCATAAAGAATCAAATGAAACAGCACTGACTCAGCACCAATAAAATTGTGTTTTTCACTTCATATAGATTTTGATTTCTGTTCATCAATATCTCAGTTCATGACTGATTCCCCATCATGTAGTCATCACAATGATTCCTGACCTTTTGAACCCTCTTCAGTCTCCAAATTAGCATCTTCTCACCCCTGTACTTCAGTATGATCAGAATGTATTTCAATAAAAATTAATTTTATTAAATTGAAAATAAAACTTCTGAGATCCTCCTCCAGACTCTCCCTTTATTCTGCCAATATTCTTCCAATTTATCCAAGTATGAAATTTTGGAATAATGTTTCATTCTCATTATTTACTTTTCCTTTATTAAGCCTAATGTCTCAGTCCACCTCCAGTTCAAAAAAAAATGTACTGGTTTCCACTATCTACATAATTAAGTACCAACTCATTGCTGTGGTGTTTAAGGTCTTCCCTTAACCAACTTTCCTACACCTTTATGGACTCTTGGTTCTCTGATCAAACTTAAGCCATCAGCTTCTCCTCTCTTCAAAATGCCTTAGATTTTTCAGTCTTTTGGAATATTTGTTTACTTATTCCCTTTTTCTACCAACAAAATAGTCATCTTTTTCCTCTTTAACTGCTAGCCCAGAGCAACTGTTTTCTTGGAATCCTCACTGAAAAACTCATCCCTCCAGCCTCAATATCTAACAAACTTTTTGAGTCCAAGAGATATGGAGTGAATTCCTAAGTCACTTAGCTGGAAAATGGCAAGGCCTGAATGAAAACCTATGTTTCATGGTAGCTACTCAGCCTTCATCTTTCAAAACCTTCAAGTTTAACTTTTTATTTCTATCTTCACATGATAGTTCCTACAATCCTTTTAGGCCTTTTTTAAAATGAAGGTAGCAGTGGGGAGCACACAAAATATTCAGTCATGATTTGTGAAATGGGGATGTTTTTGCTCTAAAATTCTTTTTCTGGTTTCCAATACTTTGTTGAACTTTGTGGTCATAGGAATATATTGCTATAATAGGATATCTGTAATATGTCCCAAGTGTCTATCTAAAAGTGATAATTTCATTATCCTATTGGAAAATTTTCAATCATTTAAGAAATTTTACTGCATATTTTGTTTACCTATCTGGCTGTTTGTTTCGGCTAGCTTTTCTGTCAGTTTTCCCAGTTGATTTGTCACTTTTAAATTCTAATGGATTTATCTGGAATAATTAGATAATTGGAGATCTTTCTTTCAGGTTACTTATGCTAATATAACCAGTCTTAGCAAATATAAGAAATTACCACTTTTAATCCTTTATCAACTAAAGGATTTCTCAGTTATCCTTTATATCTTAGAATGTGTCCACTTGTAGATAATATAAAGCCTAACTCAAATTGACTTAAACAATAAAGAAATCCACTGATTTTCATGACAGGAAGTTAAGCAGGTGTTTGATTAATCTAGTGGCTCAACTTTTTATGCAAGGGCCCACAGGTTTGTTTTGTCTCTCCACTCCATCATCTACAATTTTGGCCCTACACTAAGGCTGGTTTCCACTGTAATCACAGATTGACTTCCAGGAATAACAGAGGCTAAATCTTTCTTGTTCACATACAACAGGAGAAGGAGCTAGTGTATTTCTCCCAAACTTCATACAAACTTGCATCGAACCATCTGGTTATACCATTTTAGAGAATGTGCTTACTCCTGAACAAGTCTCTGTCACAAGAAGATTGCCGTGATCTGATTGGCTTAGGCCTAGCTTCCTGAACCAATCCTTAGCAGGGGCACATGAGATTGGCAGGACTGATATAGGCTAATCAAGGCCATTCATATAATGAGGAGGAGGCAGAGGGGTTAAGTCCTTATACCACACTGAGACAAGTAGAGTGAATATTAGGGAGTCAACCACAAAGTCTACTTTATCTTTAGCAAGCAGAGGTAGAAAAGCTACCTCGAAATTCATTTTCAATCAATAAAAATATTATTTGCCCCTGCTCATAATTTTTAATCTTCTGAAATCTACATGTCCTGTCTGTGCTGAACTATGTAAAGCAGTTTTATGTAGTAATGAAAATCATGGAGTTAAAGCTCATATTCATATGCAAATAAGAATCAGAATAAAACCCCGGAGCCACTTAAGGAATGTTGTTTGACATTACCTTAGGTGAGTTATCTGAACTTTCTGAGGCTTTGCTTTTCATTTTTGGAAAAGGGGTATCAGTACCAAATTAACTATAAAAATTAGAAAATATATAACACTTAGCACAATGCCTTCTACTTGATAGATGAGCATTAAGTCATTATTATTTCAGTATTTTCCCCCATTCCATTATAAGCTCCCCAGATGGTAGAGATTATTGAATATTCCAATGATAGTACATTTTTTCATTTTTGAATGTTTCACATATTTTCTATTTTGCTAAAATCAAATGTGATACATGCGTTCTTGTTTTCATTGATTTAAAAAAAGGGAGCAGTTTGAGATTGATATTGTCAAAGTTACAGACTAGTGAGAGGCCCAGTCAGTGCTAAAATAGTATTTGTCATTTAGAAAGTACTTTGTACATACATCACCCTATGTATTTTTCACAATAATGATATAAGGTTGACATTATCATTCTCTTTATAAAATGCAAGGAAACTGAGACTTAATGAGGTTCAGAAATTTTCTTAAACCTTTTGCATGAAATAGTACTGAAATAAAATTATTCTGACTCTTTGTCCAAATCTCTTTTCTTTAGATCATTTTTTCTTGAAATATAGAGTACATAAACATTTTCTAGGCATCTTGTACAAAATACAAATCCTGGGGCTCTAGTCATAGAAGTTGAAATTCAGTAGCTCTTGGGTACAGCTCATAAAATTTACATTCTTTTTTTAAAACATACCAGAAATTCTGTTGCTCATCACAGTTTGAAAGTTACTAAGAGTCTATTCATTTTTGTTTAGGAAAACAGCATAGAAAGGTGGATATCTAATTAGTAACATTTAACAAATTTGAGAAAGCAGCATAATATAATCCTATTTTTAACATAAATTTAGAGTCTTCTTTCAGAATAATGCTGTAATTTTGTAAAGATGTATTACTTTTTCTCAGATTTTGATTGGCCAAAAGTAAAAACATGTATAAAAATTAAGTCAACGACTACACTAATCTGTTAAGCTAATAAAAATTATTAATTCAATGACTTATTATAAATCTATTTCATAACATACTACGTGCCATGCACTGTCCCCTAGGACCTGAGAATACAATAGTGAGAAAAAAATACAAGCACAATTCTAGCCTTCTTGTACCTAAAATCTAAAGAGGAAAGCCACCACTAGTAAAACAGTCACACAAATAAATAGAAAGTTTTCACTGTGATTTCAACTACTGTATGAATGAGAGGGACATGGTACTATGAATGTATGCAATACAGGAATTTTACTTAGGCAAGGCAGTCAGAGAAGTCTGCTCCAAGTGAACCCTGAGCATAGATTCAAAATGTGAAGCCTAAATAGGTGTTAAATAGGCAAAGTAAGGAGGGACAGGAGTTTCATGCCGAGGAATCAGGTTATGTAGGTGATAGATTAGATACAGGAATGGGCAGAAGGATAGATAATGATGATGGTAACAGATGAATAGACAGATAATAAAAGTTGAGCTCGATCAAATTAATTGAAAGCAAAATTGCTTTTGGAAAAAAAGGAAAGTATAACTGTTTGTTTCTCATTTCCATTCTTGACTACCCCTGGTATAAAGGGTTGGTTACTCTCATGAGACTGAAAACAGTAGGAAGAGGTCACTTAGATTAGATTAGTAAATAGCAAACAAATGTAAGAAAGCCCTCTAGGCTTCATGAGTAACGTAATGGTGGTCAGAAAGTATCTGAGGAGAAGGTAAAGAAGGAATGACCCAATCCCACGTGAAGTTGAACTCTGCCAGCCCGGGATGTCAAGAGTATATCAGGAGACATCATCTTGTATAAAAATAAATATTCTATCAATAATACCATACTTCCTAAATAAGGGTATACCATAATTCTTCATAACTTTATTATAAAGGTGAATACATCAGCTTTGCAGGTATTAATAGCTAATGTACTATGAAAAGTCTAGTCACATTATTAAATATTATTTTTTATTGAAATATTTTTTCATGACTATTTCTACATATCCTTTTCCATTGAGTCAACACAAACTGGTCCTTTGTACTGGATGGTTCATTGTAGATGAGTAAACCGCATGATAAAAATAAGAATTAGTCACCATGGCCTGAGTTTTTCAATTTATCTCTCTGCATTAATCTAATCTTCCAGACAGTAGCTAAACCTCCTTTTCACTTGGTATTAGGATGTGTTTAGGACATTGCTTCCATGATTGATTGCCATGCCTGCTTCCCTTTTCTCCAGAGCATATTCCTGCATGTGTTTGGAAGTGTCTGTCCTCAAACAGTATTTATAGGGTTAAAAATAAAACAACTGGATAACGAGCATATTTGGGATCAAAATTCTCACTTTAATTTTAAATGATTTAAAACAAAGACCTGTTTAATGTTTTGAATACCAGCAAATTTCACTTTTCATTTAAAACTACTATATAGCAGAAACAACAGGGGTCAGGTAGGGTGGCTCGTGCCTGTAATCCCAGCACTTTGAGAGGCCAAGTTTGGGACTGCTTGAGGCCAGGAGTTTGAGACCACACTGGTTAACATAGAGAGACCCCATCTCTATAAAAAAATTAAAAAATTAGCTGGGCATGGTGGCATGCGCCTGTGTCTCTAGCTACTCAGGTGGCTGAGGCAGGAGGATCGCTTGAGTCCAGGAGGTCAAAGCAAGAGTGAGCTAGGATCATGCCACTGCACTCCAACCTGGGCAACAGAATGAGACCATGTCTCTAAAAAAAGAAAAAGAAAAACAAAAAAGCAGGAAAGTCCTTAAAATCAAATAAAAATGAAAACAAACAATAGACGTATAAAGCAAACAGTAATGTATAACAATAGGTGTATTTGTTGAATCAGCAAGTCTCAGAATTTCACAGAAAATATGATGTTATCTATGTGAGAAAAAGCCAGAAAAGTTGCTTGGCACGGAGAATTCATCTTAGCATTGTGCAGAGGCTCTAAGAAGCACTCCTCATGAAGGACTGAACAATCACACCATAAGGACTCTACAGCCTGGCACCACTAGTTGCTGTCTACAAGGAGAATGAGCAATAATTTCACAAGAAGTCAATACACAACTTTCTGTTTGTTAGCACATGAATTTATCATAATTGGACAAATTTGACCCGTTATCAAGACTAAAGCCTGTTCTTGCTTCAATGATTTTACCTTCAAAGCAAGAAGACTCTTTTTGCCTCTGTTTCTGAGGGAGGAATTTTCCACTTTCAAGTACTACTTCCTCATCTGAAAAATAATATGGTCAAACTAGATGACTCCAATTAATTTAAAAATTCTATGACTCTGTAACACTGCTAAATTAGTATATGAAATTGTAGGTCTTTATTTCATATTACCAGTATTATAGTAAGAGCTTTAAAGATTCCAAGGAGATATATATATATGTACACATATACATTTTATTCACTTTTCAGCTTTAAAAGACAATTGCTTCTCGAAGGAAGATTTTCTAACTGAACATTAAATCAACAGAAAGAGTTGATCTGGTATCAGTCTGCAATGCTGGGGAACCCTTTATTGAGGCTAGATTGAATCCATGAGAACATGGCTTCTGCTCAGGGCTTTTGATTTGTCATTTGCTCAGCAGTCCTCCCCATGAAGAAATGAACACACTGTGCCCATTTTTCAAAATTGACTATTTCCAAATACAGTATTTAATTTAGTGATCCTTTATAATAGCATTGTCCCTGAGGAGGAAAAAACAGTTGTCAGATTACTGGCCATTTGACACTGAATCATTATAACCAAGTATAAAATTTAATGAGATTTCTACTGAATGAGTGGCATTTGTGTATCATCTGGACTGTCACACATTTGTCATCACTGAGACGTTTGCTTATTAATCTATCTTCAATGATGCCTTATGTAAATTAGCTGAAAAAGCCTTTTAGGAGAACCTTTCCTCCCTGATTTATTTTAAAAAGTCAAAAAATAGCAAAAGTAGAATCATTAACAGGCCTTAAAAAACAAAGATACTGACTATATCAATAGGTTGATGTAATTCACTCCTAAATATATACAAGAAGCTTATGCCAGGCAGCATTCAGTATATGATGTATAAAAATATTTTTTCAGAAATAAAGTATCGATAAGCCAATTCTAATATTATAACAGTAAATCTTGTTTTCACCTTTTTATGGTTAAAATTTAATGTCTCTTAGAAGGTAAATCACGCTGCCAATTATTCAGAATATCTGTACGTTAATATGTTCATAAAAGTATTTCAGATTTACCATCATTTAGAAAAGTTAGCTGTCCAGAGGCTATAACGCTCTCAGTTTCTAATAAGGATCATCCTTATTATTAAATCATATGAAAGGATTATTTTCTTCATTCATGGAGCTTGTCTGTCATTTTTATTACCACTCTAAACTTGGATGAAAAAAAACCCTGTTAACCCAAATATAGTTTGATTTAACAAAAATGAAACTTAAATCGCATCTCCGTCTAATATAATTATATTTTAAAACATTCTTTTACTTGTTAATTGTTATACAACATTCCACACTCAAAATATAACTCCTCTATCCTTTCTTCCTTTATTTATTTTTCCTTCTTTTTTTCCCTTTCTTCATCTTTCCTTCTACAAATATTTATTGAGGGTCTAATTGTATGTCAAGTACCATGTTGGACGTTCAGATAAGTGGAAGTTACAGAAAAATAAATAGGCAGTTTAATGGCTGCCTAATATTTCATTATAAGAATTTAGAATTTAAACATTACGTGATTATTGGGCAATTTGTTGTTTACAATGGTTTATAATTATAAATAATTACACAGCCACAATCAGTACCTTGGTTATATAAATCTTTGTCCCTCTCACTAATTATTTTCTAAGAACCATATTTGGGCAAATAGACAAATATCAAAAAGAATAAAGAGGATTTATTATGTTGTAAATTATATCTTTTGTTCCAGCTGAAAGTTTAAAAATTATTTAATTATTACCTATTATGAAAGCAATATACCCTTCTTTAAGATGGCTAATTTAAACATTTTCATAGAACTTTAATACTCAGAGAGGCAAATTATTTTATTTAAATTAACAAAGAGTTGTCTTCCACAGTGTCTCCCACTGAGCCTTGCACATAGGCGGTTGTTAAATGCTCTTTGAAGAGATGAATAAATAGAATGGAGGGAATGAAACAGAATAAATGTAACAACATAGAAGAGCTTAATAAATGAGTTTGTTGGCAATTATTCCTATATGGACACGTTAGCTAAATTTCAAGTCTTTTTCATAATATTTGAGGGTCCTCCTGACAGAGTTTCATACTGATGAAAACACTCTTTAGGCAAGTTCCAGTTAGCCATTGCTGCCCCAAAACTTATTAGCTTAAAACATCAATCTGTTATTTTCTGTCATGATTTTAGCAGCTGACAGGCCAGGCAATTCTTGCTCGATTTTCTCATGTAGATGCTGGCTGAAGCTGGAGTCATCTGAAAGCTTCTTTTGTTTATTTTTTTAATTCACAAATAATAATTGTATGTATCCCAGGATGTACATAGTGATGCTTTGGTACATATACTGTACAGTGATCAGATCAAGGTAATTAGCATATTCATCATCTTAAACATTTATCTTTTCTTTGTGTTGGGAACATTCAATATCCTCATTCTTGCTATTTAAAACTATGGATATTGTTAACTATAGTCATCCTACAGTGGTCTATAGCCCTAGAACTTATTCCTTCTGTCTAGCTGTACTTTTGTATCCTTTAACAAATCTCTCCCTATGCTATTCTCCCCCTTTCCCTTCCCAGCTTCTAATGTCCTCTGTCCTTTCTACTTCTATGAGATCCTTTTTTTTAGCTTTCACATATAAGTGAGAACATGTGGTGTTTAACTTTCTCTTCCTGGCTTATTTCACTTAACATAATGTCCTCCATTTCCATCCATGTTGCCACAAATGACAGAATTACATTCTTTTTATGGCTGAATAGTATTCCATGGTGTATATATATCACATTTTCTTTATCCATTCATCTGTTGTTGGACTCCTAGGTTGATTCCATATCTTGGCTATTGTGAATAATGCTGCAATAAACATAAGGGTAAAGAAGTCTCTGATATACTGACTTCCTTTTCTTTGGATACATGCATAATAGTGGAATTGCGGGATCACATGGCAGTTCTCTTTGTAGTTTTTTGAGGATCCTCTGTACTGTTCTCCATAGTGGCTATACTAGTTTACGTTCCCACCAATAGTGTGTAAGACTTCCTTTTTCTCCACATTCTCACCAACAATCGTTATTTTTGTCCTGCTGATGATAGCCGTCCTAACTGGGGTGAGATGATACCTCATGGTGGTTTTGATTTGCATTTCCCTGATTATCAGTGATGCTGACCATTTCTTTCATATATTTGTGGTCATTTGTGTGTCTTCTTTTGATAAATGTCTTTTCAGATGTGACTGTTTTTTAATAGCGTTGTTTGTCTATTTGCTGTTGAAATGTTTGAGTTCCTCATATATGCTGCACATTAATCCCCTTTCACGTGAATAGTCTGCAAATATTTTCTTCCATTCTGCGAGTTGTCCTTTCATTCTGTTGATTATTTCTTTTGCTGTGAGGAGCTTTTTAGTTTGGTATAATCCTATTTGTTTATTTTTGCTTTTGTTGCCTGTGCTTTTGAGATCTTATTCATAAAATCTTTTCCAAAACCAAGGTCCTGAAGCACTTCCTCTATATTTTTTTCTAGTAGTTTTATTGTTTCTGGTCTTATAGTTAGCTCTTTGATACATTTTGAATTGATTTTTGTATGAGGTGAGGGGTGAGAAGTCTAGTTTCATTCATCTGCATGTGAACATCCAATTTTTCCAGAACCATTTATTGAAAAGACTGTTCTTTCCCTAATGAGGTCTGATCTGAAGGCCTCTTCACTGACATGTCTGGTGCCTGGACTTGGATGGCTAGAATAGCTGGATGCAAGTTGGATCTCTCTCTCCACAGACCTCTCTAAATAGCTAATTTGGACTTCTTCACAGAATGGCAATTTCCATGTAATTGGACTGACAACTGTCTTTTCCTATAAAAAGCATTCCAGGAAACCTGTGGTAAAGATGCAAAGCTTAACCTCAACTCAAAATTCACACACAGTCATTTCTACCATTGTCTACTGAGTCAAACAGTCACAGGCCAGCTCAGATTTAAGGAGGTGAAAAAATTGACTCCACCGTTCAATGGCAGAATGGCTTGCATGTTCAGGGAGTAAAGGAAGTGATAGTGGCCACCTTACACACAGGCAGACACAAAGTGATTAATGCTTTCTTCAAATGCCATCTCTATCTCTACAACATAAAGTGTGGCTGTATGTGTTCCCTAACACATACTTTTTCTCTTTCTTTCTTCAGTTGAAGATACTTTCTAAATTAACAGTGAAAACAGTAAAGGTCTCTGTACTCCTTGCTTCCTTCCACAAATTAGGATTTACAATCACATCCAAATTTAAATCTCAGCTGTGCTGTTCCCTAGCAGAGTGATTTGAGCAAATAACTTCTCATTAGAATGAACTCTCTGATACCCAGTGCCTACCATAAAACTTAACATATAATAAGGTTATTGACTAAATAATTTATTATTATTTATTAACTAAGTAATCTCTTTGAGATTCTATTACCTCCTCTATGAAATGGGGATAACAATGCCCACCTCCCAGTGACGAAGAAGTAAATGAACAATTTAATGTTTGCAAACACTTAGTAAGCACCTTAATACAGTACAATACAGTGAGATTATCACAGCTATTAGTATTATTATAGTTAATATTCTTCTCACTATTAAATCATTATAATGTATTGTAGATGCTCCTCTACATTCCTGTCACCACAGTCTAAAAACTTGTTAGACATCTTCTTCAACACCTGGATCTCATTTATTTTCTTTACCTTATCCTTAGTCGCTATTTTAGTGGCTTCAACATTGATATTGGGTGATGCAATAGACATATTTTTTCATAAATCCTAGACCTTATAAACCCTGTAATAATATTCTCAACTTTGCTTTAGATAAACAAAAACCAACTTCTTACTCAAAACCACCCTACCTCTAAAATCACAAATCTGTCAATTTTCTCTTGCAACACAATTCCTACTCTTATATTTTCCTCCCATAACAATCCAGTCTCCTTGACTCCTTTTTTTTATTCTAGTCTGTCAGCCCCATTCTGGCTTCCTCTGACTTGACTCCATGGTTACCCACAGCATTGTCATATTTGATGATAAACAATATCAGAATTACAAACTCCCAAGCCTGAATGGACCCTACTGACTGCTTTCCTGGTCTTGGTCCTGACTTTCCTATCTTTACTGAATTGGTCAGTTTCACTTCAAAATGATACCGTCTAACCAAATTTGAACTCTAGTACTATTCTAGAATATTTGTATTTTCTCTTCATTGCACCCTTTCACTTTTATCATGTGCTATTCCAAAACTTTCCTGTTATATCCTCCAGCCCCCAATCTAATTTCCCGCAATCACCCTAACTCTTGTAGACAGTATTATATTCTTAAGTTTAAAAAATGAGTACCTTCCAAAATGAGTTCTCTCAACGTTTCCCCTTACCATCTCGAAAACTTTAATTATTTTGCTTCCTTCATTTATCTTAGAGGAAAAAATTGTCATTTCTTCTCAAGGTTGCCCTCTAGACCTTTGCCCACGATTCCAACTTTCGGTCACCTTCCTGATAGAATAGTCTCTATCTTCTATATCTTTAGTCTCTTGCATCTGCTGGTGGTTCTTCTCAGGTAACAACGACAACAAAAAAAGTTCGTTCCTTATTTTCTAAAAATGTCATTTGCCCCAATGAGGCTTTTAAACTTTTTCTCCATCTTACTGAAGCTGTATTGTTGATACTCTCTATTCAAAGGTCTTCACCAACTCCTCCATCTGTTCAGCATGCAACCATTTCTTAGGGTTTAGCTCATGTCTCTTAATCAACAAATCCAGAGAGCATTTGTACATAAAGACCAACTCAGAAAATACTTAAAATACTTAAGTTTTTGAAATTCAAAATAAAACATTATTGTGACTTTAATTGTCCATACTATGGAATGGAAGAACTGGCATTGCTTTGTAGCCACTAAAATATAAATACCTGTGCATTTTTAAAATACTATTCAAAATCACCACTAGAAATAAAAACACAATGGCACATTTCTCCTCAAATCTGGTTATAATTCGTTCTTAAAGATGAAGTCCATATGCACACAGATTAGTCAATAATATTCTATACCATTCTTTCATAATCAAAAGGGAATTAATCCTCCTTTATTCACTACCTCCCCACTCCTACCAAGGAAAAAAGGAAGCTAATCATAGATCACAGTCTCCTTTGAACTCCCTACAGAACTTTATGTATGTCTCAGGTCTGGCATATGTCCTTACCTTGTCTATACTATCATTATTTCAGAACCTTTTGCACCTCCCCTGTTAGAGTCTAAGCTATGTGTACTTGATAGTACACATCATAGGGCTTGTACATTGTATGTTCTCTGAACATGAACATTAGCTCTAGCCACTTGTAGTATTTTAGTAAGGATGAGATTTTTTTTTTGTCTCTGTAGCACTGCCTATCATTTTCTGTTGCTGCCTCTGTAAACTGATTGATTTCAGCAGCTGCATTTGATACTGGCATTCACATCTTTGTGTTTGTTTCTCATTATTTTTTCTTTTTCTATAAAATATAATGCTAATTGGTAACTGCCTCTGGGCACAAAGTAGCAGAAAGAAATCAAATCTACAATTAAGTTTCCCCCAGAAATCCTAGACTCCAACTTGCATCCATGACTTTTTGTTGTCAATTTTAATTACTAAATTCATATTTCATTAAGGTGATTACATAGTTGGATGTGCTACATATTGGAAATATAATTTCTCATGGCTCCTGATAATAATTTGTGCTTAACTTTATCCATTGCCTTTGACCTATAGGACCCCCAGGCCCACCTGGGATAGTAATTGTTGAGGAAATAACCGAAAGTACGGCCACACTGTCCTGGAGCCCAGCAGCTGACAACCACAGCCCAATCTCCTCCTACAACCTTCAAGCTCGCAGCCCATTTTCCCTGGGCTGGCAAACAGTAAAGACAGGTAAGAGGCACTAAAGCAACATCAGATATAACCAGAGTGGCCTTCTATCTCATAAGCTATATTTGGCTAAGGTCTTACTATGATTTTTTTGGATTCTGAAATCTCTTTGTTATTTCTTACAATATTGACAATTCTTTGCTTCTTTTTATGAACCTGAGAAGAGCAAGGTACCTTGCTTTCCTCTTTTCAGTTCCCAAAGAGGAACTATATCATGTTGGCTTATTTGTTTGTTGAAATAACCTTAAACTCACATATAAGTTGCAAAAATAGTACAGAGTTCCTGTGGACCCACTCCCCAGCTTCCTGCCATGATAAAATCTTACATAACCATAGTACAATTACCAAATCAGGAGATGATGTTGGTGAATTGATGTTAACTAAGATTCAGACCTTATTAGGATCTCACTAGTTTTGATATGCAATTGTTTTAGTGTGTACTTATATGAGATTCTATGAAATTTTATTATGTAGACTCAAGTAACCATCAAGACAATCAGGATATAGATCAGTTTCATTAGCTCAGTTCCTTTTGCTACTCCTTTCTAGTCATACATCTCTTTTATTTATAAAAAGAAAATCTATTCAGCTGGCAAGATGGCTGAATAGGAATAGCTCTGGTCTGCAGTTCCCAATGAGATCAACGCAGAAGGTGGGTGATTTCTGCATTTCCAATTGAGGTACTAAGCTCATCTCATTGGGACTGGTTAGACAGTGGGTGCAGCCCATGGAGGGCAAGCTGAAGCAGCATGGGGCATTGCCTCACCCAGGAAGCATAGGGGGTCGGAGAATTCCCTCCCCTAGCCAAGGGAAGCTGTGAGAGACTGTGTCATGAGGAACAGTGCACACCAGCCCAGATACTACACTTTTCTCAGAGTCTTCACAACCCACAGACCAGGAGATTCCCTCAGGTGCCTATGGCACCAGGGCCCTGGGTTTCAAGCAGAAAACTGGGAAGCCATTTGGGCAGACATCCAGCTAGCTGCAGGAGTGTTTTTTCATACCCTAGCTGTGCCTGGAATGCCAGTGAGACAGAACCATTCACTCCCCTAGAAAGGGGGCTGAAGCCAGAGAGCCAAGTGGTCTAGCTCAGCAGATCCCACCCCCATGGAGCCCAGCAAGCTATAAGATTCACGAAATTCTCAACAGTCTGAAGTTGACCTGGGATGCTTGAGCTTGGTCAGGGGAGGGGTGTCCACCATTACTGAGGATTGAGTCGGTGGTTTACCCTTATAGTGTAAACAAAGCCACCTGGAAGTCTGCAATGGGCAGAGCCCACCGCAGCTCAGCAAAGCTGCTGTAGCCAGACTGCCTCTCTAGATTCTTCCTCTCTGGGCAGGGCATCTCTGAAAGAAAGACAACAGCCCCAGTCAGGAGCTTATAGATAAAACTCCCATCTCCCTGGGACAGAGCACCAGGGGGAAGGGGCAGCTGTGGGCACAGCTTCATCAGACTTAAACGTTCCCGCCTGCCAGCTCTGAAGAGAGCAGCAGATCTCCCAGCGCAGCGCTCAAGCCCTGCTAAGGGACAGACTGCCTCCTCAAGTGGGTCCCTGACCCCCATGCCTCCTGACTGGGACACAACTCCCAGCAGGGAGTTGTCACCGACACCTCATAAAGGAGAGCTCTGGCTGGCATCTGGTGGGTGCACCTATGGGACTAAGCTTCAAGGAGGAAACAGGCAGCAATCTTTGCTGTCCTGCACCCTCTGCTGGTGATACCCAGGCAAAATGGGTCTGAAGTGGACCTCCAGCAAACTCCAGCAGACCTGCAGCAGAGGGACCTGACTATTAGAAGGAAAACTAACAAACAGAAAGGAATAGCATCAACATTAACAAAAAGAATGTCCACACAGAAACCCCATCCAAAGGTCACCAACATCGAAGACCAAAGATAGATAAATCCACAAAGATGAGGAAAAAACAGCACAAAAAGGCTGAAAATTCCAAAAACCAGAACACCTCTTCTCCTCCAAAGGATCACAACTCCTCGCCAGCAAGGGAACAAAACTGGACGGAGAATGAATATGATGAATTGACAGAAGCAGGCATCAGAAGGTGGGTAATAACTCCTCCAAGCTAAAGGAGCATGTTCTAACCCAATGCAAGGAAGCTAAGAACCTTGAAAAAAGGTTAGATGAATTACTAACTAAAATAACCAGTTTAGAGAAGAACATAAATGACCTGATGGAACTGAAAAACACAGCACGAGGACTTTGTGAAGCATACAGAAGTATCAATAGCCAAATCAATCAAGCTGAAGAAAGGATATCAGAAATTGAAGATCAACTTAATGAAATAAAGTGTGAAGACAAGATTAGAGAAAAAAGAATGAAAAGGAACAAACAAAGCCTCCAGCAAATATGGCACTATGTGAAAAGACCAAATATACGTTTGACTGGTGTACCTGAAAGTGACAGGGAGATGGGAACCAAGTTGTAAAACACTCTTAGGGATATTATCCAGGAGAACTTCCCCAACCTAGGAAGACAGGCCAACATTCAAATTCAGGAAATAGAGAGAACACCACAAAGATACTCCTCAAGAAGAGAAACCCCAAGACACATAATCATCAGATTCACCAAGGTTGAAATGAAGGAAAAAATGTTATGGGCAGCCAGAGAGAAATGTCAGGTTACCCACAAAGGGAAGCCCATCAGACTAACAGTGGATCTCTCAGCAGAAACTCTACAAGCCAGAAGAGAGTGGGGGCCAACATTCAACATTCAACATTCTTAAAGACAAGAATTTTCAACCCAGAATTTCATATCCAGCCAAACTAAGCTTTATAAGCAAAGGAGAAGTAAAATCCTTTACAGATAAGCAAATGCTGAGAGATGTTGTCACCACCAGGCCTGCCTTACAAGAGATCCTGAAGGAAGCACTCAATATGGAAAGGAAAAAACCCATACAGCCTCTGCAAAAACATACCAAATTGTAAAGACCATCAACACTATGAAGAAGCTGCATCAACTGACAGGCAAAATAACCAGCTAGCATCATAATAACAGGATCAAATTTACACATAACAATATTAACCTTAAATATAAATGGGCTAAATGCCCCAGTTAAAAGACACAGACTGGCAAATTGGATAAAGAGTCAAGACCCATCAGTGTGCTGTATTCAGGAGACCCATCTCACTTGCAAAGTCACACATAGGCTCAAAATAAAGGGATGGAGAAAGATTTACCAAGCAAATGAAGAGCAAAAAAAAGCAGGGGTTGCAATCCTAGTCTCTGATAAGACAGACTTTAAACCAACAAAGATCAAAAAAGACAAAGAAGGGTATTACATAATGGTAAAGGGATCAATGCAAAAAGAAGAGCTAACTATCCTAAATATATATGCACCCAATACAGGAGCACCCATATTCATAAAGCAAGTCCTTAGAGATCTACAAAGAGACTTAGACTCCCACACAATAATAGTGGGAGACTTTAACACCCCACTATCAATATTGGACAAAGGAACAAGACAGAGAATTAACAAGGATATTCAGGACTTAAACTCAGCTCTGGACCAAGCAGACCTAATAAACATCTACAGAACTCTCCACCCCAAATCAACAAATGTACATTTTTCTCAGCATCACATCACACTTATTCTAAAACTGACCACATAATTGGAAGTAAAACGCTCCTCAACAAATGCAAAATAATGGAAGTAATAACAAACAGTCTCTCACACCACAGTGCAATCAAACTAGAACTCAGGATTGAGAAACTCACTCGAAACCACACAACTACATGGAAACTGAAAAACCTGCTCCTGAATGACTACTGGGTAAATAATGAAATTAAGGCAGAAATAAATAAGTTCTTTGAAATCAATGAGAACAAAGAGACAACATACTAGAACCTCTGGGACACATTTAAAGCAGTGTTTAGAAGGAAATTTATAGCACTAAATGCCCACCGGAGAAAGCGGGAAAGATCTAAATTCAACACCATAAAATCACAATTAAAAGAACTAGAGAAGTCAGAGCAAACAAATTCAAAAGCTAGCAGAAGACAAGAAATAACTAAGACCACAATAGAAATGAAGGAGATAGAGAAACAAAAACCCTTCAAAAAATCAATGAATCCAGGAGCTGGTGTTTTGAAAAGATTAACAAAATAGATAAACCACTAGCCAGACTAATAAAGAAGAAAAGAGAGAAGAATCAAATAGACACAATAAAAAATGATAAAGGGGATATCACTACTGATCCCACAGAAATACAAACTACCACCAGAGAATACTGTAAACACCTCTTTGCAAATAAACTAGAAAATCTAGAAGAAATGGATAAACTCCAGGACATCTATACCCTCCCAAGAATAAACCAAGAAGAATTTGAATCCCTGAATAAACCAATAACAAGTTCTGAAACTGAGGAAGTAATTAATAGCCTACCAACCAAAAGAAGCCCAGGACCAGACAGATTCACAGCCGAATTCTACCAGAGGTACAAAGAGGAGATGGTACCATTCCTTCTGAAACTATTCCAAACATTAGAGAAAGAGGGACTCCTCCCTAACTCATTTTAAGAGGCCAACATCATCCTGATACCAAAACCTGACAGAGGCACAACAAAAAAAGAAAATTTCAGGCCAATATCCCTGGTGAATATCACTGGGAGAATCCTCAATAAAATACTGGCAATTCAAATCCAGCAGCACATCAAAAAGCTTATCCAAAATGATCAAGTCAGCTTCATCCCTGGGATTCAAGGCTGGTTCAACATATGCAGATCAATAAACATAATCCATCACATAAACAGAATCAATGACAAAAACCACATGATTATCTCAATATATGCAGAAAAGGAGTTTAATAAAATTCAACAACGCTTCATGCTAAAAACTCTCAATGAAATAGGTACTGATGGAACATATCTCAAAATAGTAAGAGTTATTTAGGATAAACACACAGCTAATATCATACTAAATGGGCAAAAACTGGAAGCATCCCCTTTGAAAACTGGCACAAGACAAGGATGCCCTCCATCACCATTTCTATTAAAAATAGTATCGGAAGTTTTGGCCAGGGCAATCAGGCAAGAGAAAGAAATAAATGGTATTCAAATAGGAAGAGAGGAAGTAAAATTGTCTCTGTTTGCACATGACATGACTGTATATTTAGAAAACCCCATTGTCTCAGCCCAAAACCTCCTTAAGCTGATAAGCAACTTCAGCAAAGTTTCAGGATACAAAAATCAATGGGCAAAAATTACAAGCATTCATATATACCAATAATAGACAAACAGAGAGCCAAATCATGAGTGAACTCCCATTCACAATTGCCACAAACAGAATAAAATACCTAGGAATAGAACTTACAAGGGATGTGAAGGACCTCCTCAAAGAGAACTACAAACTACTGCTCCAGGAAATAAGAGAGGACACAAACAAATGGAAAAACATTCCATGCTCTTGGATAGGAAGAATCAATATCATGAAAACTGCCATACTGCCCAAAGTAATTAATAGATTCAATGCTCTCCTCATCAAGCTGTCATTGACTTTCTTCACAGAATTATAAAAAACTACTTTAAATTTCATGTGGAACCAAAAAAGAGCCCGCATAGCCAAGACAATCCTAAGCAAAAAGAACAAACCTGGAGGCATCACGCTACCTGAACTCAAATTCTACTATAAGGCTACAGTAACCAAAACAGCATGGTACTGGTACCAAAACAGAGATACCGACCAATGGAGCAGAACAGAGACCTCAGAAATAACACCACACATGTAAAACCATCTGATCTTTGACAAACCTGACAAAAACAAGAAATGGGGAAAGGATTCCCTATTTAATAAATGGTATTGGGAAAACTGACTAGCTATATGCAGAAAACAGCAACTGGACCCCTTCCTTACACCTTATACAAAAATTAACTCAAGATGGATTTAAGACTTAAACGTAAGACCTAAAACCATAAAAACCCTGGAAGAAAACCTAGGCAATACCATTCAGGACATAGGCATGGGCAAAAACTTCATTACTAAAACACCAAAAGCAATGGCAACAAAAGCCAAAATTGGAAAATGGGATCTAATTAAACTAAAGATCTTCTGCACAGTGAAAGAAACTATCATCATAGTGAACAGCCAACCTACAGAATGGGAGAAAATGTTTGCAATCTATCCATCTGACAAAGGGCTAATATCCAGAATCTACAAAGAACTTAAACAAATTTACAAGAAAAAAACAACCCCATCAAAAAGTGGGCAAAGGATATGAACAGACACTTCCCCAAAAGAAGACATTTATGCAGCCAACAAATGTATGAAAAAAAGCTCATCATCACTGGTCATTAGGGAAATGTAAATCAAAACCACAAAACCATCTCATGCCAGTTAGAATGGCGATCATTAAAAGTCAGGAAACAACAGATGCTGGAGAGGATGTGGAGAAATAGGAATACTTTTACACTGTTGATGGGAGTGTAAATTAGTTCAACCTTTGTGGAGGACAGTGTGGTGATTCCTCAAGGATATAGAACTGGAAATATCATTTAACCCAGCAATCCTATTACTGGGTATATATCCAGAGGATTATAAATCACTGTACTATAAAGACACATGAACATGTATGTTTACTGCAGCACTATTCACAATAGCAAAGACTTGGAACCAACCCAAATGCCCATCAATGATAGCCTGGATGAAGAAAATGTGGCACATATATGCCATGGAATACTATGCAGCCATAAAAAAGGATGAGTTCATGTCCTTTGCAGGGACATGGATGAAGCTGGAAACCATCATTCTCAGCAAACTAACACAGGAACAGAAACCAAACACCACATGTTCTCACTCATAAGTGGAAGTTGAACAAGGAAAACACATGGACACAGGGAGGGGAGCATTACACACTGGGGCCTGCCAGGGAGTGGGGTCCTAGGGGAGGAATAGCATTAGGAGAAATACCTAATGTAGATGACGGGTTGATGGGTGCAGCAAACCACCATGGCATGTGTATTCCTATGTAACAAACCTGCACGTTCTACACATGTATCCCAGAACTTAAAGTATAATAAAAAAAAGAAAATCTGATATAAAATTACACTGCACAGCATTTTAATGCCTACTTCCAAGATGTTTGCATTATAGTTGCATTATTTTAAAAATTTTTTCATCTCTAATCATTTTCTTTTCATTTTACAACTTCCCATCTCTCTCCAAATGTGGCTGTCCAGCAGGGATATGTAAAATCACACTTACTGGATAGTTACTAGACACTTATTTAACATACTGGTATTTGAAAAGTGTACAGTAAGTCTACAGAAGAGAATCTTTAGAAGCAATTGTCCATACTGAGTAACAACTGTGTTTTTGTTTTAAACTCTAATGACCTCTATTGACCTGTTTTGAAATATAGAAATCAGTAAAATATTTGCACGCAGTAACCTTAAAACTCAACCAGAATATTATGAGGGTAAAGTGGTTCATTTTATTGTGTAGGTAAATGAAATTTGAGTTTTTGTATGAAACACTGTAATATCAGAAGGAGAAAATTTGTTTATCTATATGCAGAATTTAATTCAGAATTTATTTGATATTTAGGCTCCTGCATTGTTAGACCTCAGTTTGATCATTATAGTGTCTATAAACATATTTATTATGCATATATACATATTTATTTTGTATTATAGATAATTGCTCATATCAGCCTCATTCCTGGATCCATTATAACCCTGTGATACCTTTAAAGACCTCAAAATTGGAGAATTTCTAGGTATGGTAGTTAATTCAGGAAGGACACATTTAAACCACATGAGCAGATTTACTCAAAAATTCTTATAACCTTCAACCCTGTGCTTCAATCTTATTCTTAGTATGACAGCTTAAATCTTTGGCTCTGCAGCCAGGAGATGACCTCACCTTCAGATCTGGTGTTGTGCACTCATCTAATTCATCCTCTTGCCTACAGCCATGCTCCCTGTCTGCTCTTGCCACACTATCCATGCAGCTTACTTTTGGAGAGGTTTTCCTTGTGGATACATTGCAATACATGTGTGTTTTACTACTCATCCTATGCCCATAGCAATCCAGTACCTATCTTCTACCTGCTACATCCATGCTTCGCTAGTTACACTTATGTTCTGATTCTCACCTATGGTTTTCTTTCTCAGTTCACCTGTTTTTACTTTTTGTTTATATATATACATATGTGTGTATATATATATGTATATAAAAACATACATAATCATGTATGTGGAGGATTTAGGCATTTGAATTATTTTTGTGTTTGTTTTAGAAGTCCCTACTGTAAAGTTGCATCTTTATCTTTCTAATATTATTTGAATGCTAGAAATATTTTTAAATTTTTATTTTACTTTAAGTTCTGCAATACATGAGCAGAACGTGCAGGTTTGTTACACAGGTATATGGGTGCCATGGTGGTTTGCTGTGCCTATCAACCTGTCATCTAGGTTTTAAGCCCCACATGCATTAGGTGTTTGTCCTGATGCTCTCTCCTCCCCTCATCCCCTGACAGACCCCAGTATGTGTTGTTTCTCTCCCTGTGTCCATGTGTCCTCATTTTTCAGTTCCCACTTATCAGGGAGAACATGTGGCATTTGGTTTTCTGTTCCTGTGTTAGTTTGTCGAGGATGATGGCTTCCAGTTTCATCCACGTCCTGGCAAAGGATGTGAACTCATTCTTTTTTCATGACTACATAATACTCCGTGGTGTATATGTGCCACATTTCCTTTATCCAGTCTATTATTTATGGGCATTTGGGTTGCTTCCATGTCTCTGCTAATGTCAATAGTGCTGCAATAAACATATGTGTACATGTATCTTTATAGTAGAATGATTTGTATTCCTTTGGGTATGTACCCAGTAATGCGATTGCTGGGTCAAATGGTATTTCTGGTTCTAGATCCTTGAGAAATCACCACACTGTCTTCCCCAAGGGTCGAGCTAATTTACATTCCCACCAACAGTATAAAAGTGTTCCTATTTCTCCACAGCCTCACCAACATCTGTTTTTTCTTGACTTTTTAGTAATCGCCATTCTGACTGGCATGAGATGGTATCTCATTGTAATTCTGATTTGCATTTCTCTAATGATAAGTGATGTTGTGGGGTTTTTTTATATGTTTGTTGGCCACATAAATGTCTTTTTTTGAGAAGTGTTTGCTCATATCCTTTGCCCACTTTTTGATGGTGATATTTTTCAGAGTTCTTTTTTAATTCAATTCAGCAAGAACAACACTTCTAAAAACCCAAGAATTGTGCTGTACTTATACAAAAGTTTTCCTTCAGAAAACGATTTCTGCAAGTGATCAATTGTATTTACCCTTCATGGTGCTAGGGCTATCACTAGATGTGTCCTCTTCTAACTCATTTCTCCAAAACGCACCATTAATTGCAGCTATTGGCAGAGGCATGCTGTCCTCAGGGAAAGCCTGATGAGGAGCTGTCCACAAGGTTTGCATGCTCCAAAATAGCTCTTTTAGATGCTTCCTGGTTTTAGTACCATGCTCATTCTCACAATTTCTTTCATGCCTGTGATGGGGAAATAAGTCTCTCTGGAGCCACACCAGCTCCACTAGGTCATGGGCCTTTTGGTTTCATAGTTGCTCCCTCATTCTAAATTAATTTCAATCAAAATTAACTCTAATTTAACAATATCCATTAGAAAAAAAATGAATCTGGAGTTTAAACTCGCTGACACAGTTAATGCAATTGATAATCTACTACTTGAAAAGCATTTAAAATATACCAAAATGAGCATAAAAAATAATGTCTCATTTTTGGCAAATGAAGTGAGAGGTTCCACATGAACCCTCTAGCTGAGCACATCTTGGATTTAACGTATGAATACCGCCTCCTGCAAATGAGACTAAAATGTAAATGGGAATAACTTGTTTATTTTGAAAAAAGTATGCAAACAGCCATAACATCTCACTTGCAGACCTCTTTTCCACTCAAGCAAATGGCTTTTGACTTAGAAACCTGACTTTCTTTTTTATATTACTGAGAAGCATTAGCTGACATAGTTTTTGATTATGTCTACTTAGGAATATAAAATTGCCTATAATCATAGAATTCATTGGTCTTTGTTTACTTAACTCAGATATGCTTCTTAAATATTCTATCAGTGGATATGTCTTCTATCTGTGGATATGTTTTGCACAGATTGGTTACATTTTTCAACTGAACAGATTTATTTGGTATTTTATTAATTAAATTGGTGGCTGGATTTGGGTGGCTCATACTTGTGGTCTCAGCACTTTGGGACATCCTGAGGTGGGAGGATCACTTAGGGCCAGGAGATTGAGACGAGCCTGGACAACAGAAGGAGATCTTGTCTCAAAATAAACAGTCTTAGATGTGATTCTTTTGCTTGGAAAGGCAGTTCAAAAAGATGCTTTCCCTGAGTCACTATAAGGTCTTCCACTGTCTTTCGTTGCTGTCATGTTCTCTCTGATGCACAATGTTTTCTTTGAAACCAAGTTGTCCCTAAAGTTCTGGAAATAATAACTTTATAAAAAGATGCTGCAAGACTTTTAAAATACTTACTTTGGTATAAATCCTCCATTATCCTTAATCTCCATAATATTGCATTTCAAATCAAAACCCTAATTGTATAAAAGAGAAAGTTTTTACTTTCTTTCATATTGCATTATATTTCACCAAAAATAATAATACCTTCAATTAATACTTATAATTATTTTATATCTCTTACAAGCAACAGGGAATTTAGAATTTCCAAATCTTTTTTTTTTTTTTTCACTTTAAAGAGAGGAATGAAGGGTGGTGGAAAGGATATGGACTTGGAAAGGGAGTCTTTAAAATCTCTAGTTATGACCAAGAGGATATAAATATGCATAACTTTGGAAGGAAGATTATTTTTATATGTATTTTACATAAAGCTTATAATAATTACATCAAGATTCAAGCAGAATTAATTAATATTGCCAATTCTGATCACACTAGGCAATTTGAACTCTCATTCATTTAATAAAAGTTTACCAAGCGCCTTTTAGGAAGTGTTCTAGGCACATGCAGTGTATCAATGAACAACACCAAATAAATAAATCCTTGCCCTTGTGAAGACTGTATTCTTACAGGTGAAGACAAACAATAAACAGAGAACATAATAAGAAAGTAAATTATATAGTATCTTAGAAGTTGATGAGTACTATGGGGGAAAATAAATTAAATGGAGTAAGAGGAATCAGAAGTACTATGGCAGGGTCAGTGTATCAGTCAACTCAGGCTGCTATAACAAAATTCCATGGACTGAGTGGATTAAACAACAGAAATTTACTTTATTACAGTTCTAGAGGTTGGGAGTTCCAACATCAAGTGGCCTTCTTTGTTTTCACATGAATCAACCACACACACACACACACACACACACACAGAGAGAGAGAGAAAGAGAGAGTGAGCAAGCTCAAGTGTCCCATCCTATAAGGACACTAAGATCACAGCCCCACTCTTATGACATCATTTAACTTTAATTACTTCCTTAGAAGCTCTATCACCAAATGCAACCACATTAGGGGTTAGGACTTTAATAGATGAATTTCAGGAGGACACATTAGTCCATAGCAGGAAGGTTGTAATTTGAAATAGAGTGGTCAGGGTATGCCTTACCGAGAAGGTATATTTGCATGAATTTTATAAGAGGTATGAACTTAGCTATCCCAATATCTAGGGGAAGGCAGCCCAGGTATAAGGAGCAACTAGAGCAAAAGTATTAGGAACATGATATGCAAGAGCATTAGAGGATCAGTGAGGCAGGAGCAGAATGAGGTTTAGGGAGAAATGTAGATGAGTTTTGAGAGATATTGGCAAGACCAGATCATACAGTACTTGGGTTTTCACCGTCAGAGAAATAAGACGTCGGAGGATTGCTTTTCTAAGTCTTATGTTTTAATACAGTCATTCAAGCTATGTGAAAAAATAGACTTATGGGAGGGGTAAGTGAAGAGTGACTAAACTATTTAGGAAGCTGTTATTATGATTGAGAGATGATGGTGCTTCAATGTGACAGAAGCTTGGTGACGCAGGTCACTGATGCTTTTATGACAGAGGTCATAAAAATGGTCAGAATTTGAAACTATTTGGGTGGTAAAACCAACAGCATTTGCTGAAAAACTGGATGTAAACAGTATGAGAGAAAAAGAATTCAAGGATGACTGTAAGATTTTTGACCTAACCAACTTAAGAATGGAGTTACTGTTAAGTGACATGGAGAAGCCTGAGAAACCTTCATAATTGGAACAGATTGGGTAGGAATGAGATAAAGAGTTCCATTTGAGACACATTAAGTTGATGTATCTGTTAGACATCCAAATGGGATTTCAGGTAGGCATTTGGATATATAAGTATGGTGTTTAAGTGAGAGGTTTAGCGTAAAGTTATTGGCATATAAATAATTTAAAATATGAGACTGTATGTCAACTCCAAGAAAGTAAGTATAAAATAAAGAATAAAAATTATGAAAATAACACCCTGGAGCATTGTAACAGTAAGAAGTTGTGGAGAAGAGAACCAGCCAAAGGCGGCAGAATGAAAGCAATCATTGAGGTAAAAGGAAAACCAAAATAATGTCATGCCATGGAAAATAAAGGAATAAAGCCTATCAAAGAAAAGGGCCTAATGAGCTGTGTCAAATGCTACTGAGATGTCAAGTAAAATGAAGACTGAGAATTGATCATTAGTTTTAGCTATATGGAGGTCATTGGTAACCTTGACAATAGCAGTTTTTATGTAATGGTAGGCATCAGCATCAAAGTCCATCAAGAATGAGTTCCAGAGACAATAGGAGAAAAATTAATATAGACAACTCTTCCAAGAAATCTTTCTGCCAAGATAAGTGGAGATATCAACATAGTTTGAAGTCATAGATGCCATAATTTTCTAATGGATTGGAGTGAGACAGGGGAGAAAGAAAGGAGTCCAGGACGGCCCGAAGATTTGGGATACAACATCTGTAAGAAAGCAATTGTCATTCCCCGTATAAGAATACCGCAGAAATCTATTCAAATAGTAATGTCTATTAATAATATGCCACTGAACATATGAGTCTGAAATCTAGGGAAGAGGTTCATTAAAAATATTAGTTAACAGCATAGAGAGTATCTAAAACCATGAGGCTGGATAAATCACCATGGAATAAGAAAATGGAAAACAGTAGAGCCATTTGCATCAGGAAGACAAAACGAAATCAGCAATGGAGACTGATAAGGCGTAGTCAGGTGGGAGAGAAACAGAAGTTAAGTTTTGAAAAGTGTTTCAAAGGATGATCAACTGTGTCAAAGGATGATGATAGTTCAAGTGAGATGAGTAATAGAGATCTGGCCTTAAGGTTTCAGTAACAGAGACCATTCACTGGTAATCTTGACAGAAGCCAGTATGATGGAAAACTGGAGGTAAGAGTCTGAATAGCATGGGTTCAAAAGAGAATGGAAGAAAAATAATTGCAGACAGTAAGTAATAGCACAAACAGTTCTCAAAAGAGTCAGAGAAACTGAGCGAAGGCTGGAAGGAGAGGAAATGTTAAGAGACCTTAGTTTTGTTTTTCAGAGAAAAACACCTGCATGCTTGTATGCTGATGGGAAACATCCATTAGAGATGTGGGAGAGAGAGGAAAAAAGGGCTGGTTCTTTTTCTCCGTGATATCTTAAGAGGTCCACCCCTTAATAAGGGTAAAATTTCTTTAGTTTCTATTGGAGTAAAAAGTTGTAGGAATGCCCAGAGAGGAGATTAAGTATATAGGGGATTTTGCTAATGACAGATCATAAATTCCAACTGTCACAGTGGAAGAACTTCAAGAATGAGGGAGAGATATGTGCTGGGCAGAAGAGGAAATTGGCAGAATTCTCAGGAGGTTAGAATAAAAGGGCTGAGCATGGTCCAGATGTCTGGAGTTACTTGAGATGACTTATATAAGTAAATGAAACAGTGATGTTAAGTCCTGGTGCTCCCAATGCAAGTGTTGGTGATACAGTGTAGGTTCTGGGCTAGAGAAGGCTGAGCATGATCTGGGAATGCCTTCTTCTCTTTTGTATGTTTGTCAAGCATAGCTCGGCATTTCACCAAGCTGTGGTCTGACAGTGGCCTTTCCCTCACCCACCTCTTAGACTCCAAGCGTACTGCTCAGTTGCCAGTGCAGCAAGAGGGAACAGAGTTGTTTTTTGTTTGTTTGTTTTTTTCCATGTCTTCATGTCACTGCTTTAAAAAAACACATCAGCCCTGCAGTGCTGTGAGATTTGTCGGGCAGCTCACACTGCCTATGCTCTGAGCATTCACCTTTCACAGAGCTACTTATTTGGTAACATTCTTTTGGTACCTTTCAGAAGAGATTTTCATGGAAAATCCAAGGCGATTTCATTCCACCTTGCTGTGGTAAAAACAGAATTGAGTCCTCAAATCAAAATCCCCAACTCCCACCCCGGCTCTACTGCCATGCCTACAAAGAAATCCAAGAATGATATAAATCCAGAGGATCTTTGCATGCTGTAAGGGAGATTCTCCACATTCTGCCTTTTCACTCCTGTAACAAATGTTTAGAAACATTTCCTAGACAGCAGAGATGAGTGAACAAGAAAAGCAGTCCCAAATAAAGCATGCATGCCATGTAAAAATACTTCACTAATGGTAATTGTATTGACAAACAATGTTATGCCCTGACAAAAATTTAAATGTAGTACAAAAATGTAAAGGTAGTACAAAAATCACTCTAAGAATTCAATGTTTCTACTCAGATATCACAAACTGTGTTTTTAAATTAGAGAGATATATTCTTAATTTGCTGCTTGGAATTACCAAGTGACTAAACATGTTTGCCAGAACTGGGAGAGCAAACTGCTCAAGAAATTTCCTAGAAAATGAAAGAAAACTGTTTAAATTATAGTTCTAATTGGCCCCTTATCTGGGGCTGAGGGATTGATGAAATAATTATTAGTGTACATAATGGTGAGGTTTGTGTAAAGATAAAATGAAAGAGTCCTAATTAACTCCAACAAACTTTGACATATGTAAGTGCTTACTCCCTGAAGATTGATTTTCATTTTACTAATGACACTGGAGGTGACACCATGACCACGTGTCGTGAGGAAATATGCATTAGCCTTCTGATTCTGTCAGTAGCATTAATATTCTTGATTGCCATTTGTAGCATTTTTCTAGTCCTCATAATGACATGAAATTTCCTTCCTTTCTATAGTCCCAGAAATCATAACAGGGGACATGGAGTCAGCCATGGCTGTGGACCTAAATCCCTGGGTGGAATATGAATTTCGAGTGGTAGCCACCAACCCTATTGGGACAGGAGATCCAAGCACCCCATCTCGAATGATCCGCACAAATGAAGCAGGTAAAAATTTGGAAGAGTCAGATTGGATTTGGTATGCTTCTAATCGTCTTGAAAGTGAGTTGAATTAACCATGATTGCTCCATTGCTTGCTTTAGCATAATTTGTCCTGATTCATTTACCTAAACATCATAAAATTATTTTCTTTAAAATAATTATTTCATTTTATTTGTTCTCAGAACTTTTTCTCCCTGTTTCCACAAATACAGTCATCTAAATGCTTCAATTTTCTCCCAATCCTTGTACTCATCTTCAGGTTACCATGAAATTAAAGCAGTTCATTTATTCTTCTAATAATATACTCATTCAATATAGCATACACTTAAGATTTAGAATAAATCGGTTCACCTTCTTTTTTTCCAGTGATACTTTACTTGAATTACAGTGTACTTCCTTAGAACTCTTTTATGTTACCCTTCACCACAAAACCCATATAAATTACACTTTGCAAATAGTAAACATTGCCCTTCCTTGACCTACTGCCTTCCTGAAGTCTATATGTAAAATAAATACCAATCTGCTCCTTGACTTTGAAAACATTACATTATTCTCAGCTTTTAGAAAAAGCATATCTGATAAAAGGTTTCTAATGACTGAGGAATTAACAGCTCTATTTGAATTTTAAGATATCTTGCCTATCACCTGGAAGGTGCAGAAAAATAAAGAAATAAGGAATACAGAAATTTTCTGAGTAGATTTTTATGACTTTGGACAAAGTCTCATTGAGGTCTTTTATGTCCCTCTAATGTTGTATATTAAGAAAGTATCTGGTTAGACATTTACTTAGGGGAACACAAACATGAATGTTGATAAGAACAATATGAAAACAATAGAAAGAGGAGGATCAGGGATAGGTATAGGGAGGAAGAAATAACAAATGCTAATGTTTTTATGCTCAATGATAATATATGAGTCTCAAATAAAAGTGCACTGAAAATGAAGGTTTGTCATATATGTTCACTGCCCTATACTGAAACCTAGAACAGTGTTTGGTACTGGTACTCAGCATGTCATATTTTTAAAGGGAACAATTTTTTCCTTTATGTCCCCCTACACACACCAGTACATAGGTCAGATACACATATACATACAAGACTAAGAATTAACTGTGTCCATTGTGTATTATAGTTATAGAACTGAACCAAAAATATGACTTTTGACCTCTAACAAATTAAACAAAGCTTATAATCATTAAAATAAACTCTCAAAACAGTTGACTTTTTCTCTAAAACATATTATGGCCCTCTCAGAAGGAAGGAAGGAAGGAAGGAGAATGGAGGAAGGGAGGGAGGGAAAAGAAAGAAAAAAAAATCCCAAGATGGCCCACTAGACTCAAGACAAATGGAACAGCTCCTACTGAGGGACCCAGAGGACTAGAGTGCTCCTAACAGATCTTCACAGGGAAGGCACTGAGAGTGGACAGAGGGAAAACACAGAGGTTGGGCTGATTGGGGGAAAACGTTGGGACCCCTACGCGGGGCTACAGCACACCCGGATTTATTTCTGGCCCCCAACAGCTCTGGGGGAATTGGTGAGTTGAACTGGCAAGGAGCAACCCACTCTTGCCACAGGCCTCTGGAACCCCAGCAGAAGGAGACCCCCTAGACCACCACGGACTCTGGACTTGGCAGGGAGAGCTGCATACAGAAGTGGTAGGAGCTGCAAGCCAGCTGATGTGGAGCCCAGAGGGTTTGGTGCAAGAGCATCTGTAGTGAAGCATGGTCAGGGATGGCCATCCCCCTAGGTTCGATTTGCTCCATAGGAGACTTTAGCCCTAGGGGAACTTTCTGTCTGTCCTGAACTCTGTAAGGCAGTTTTGCCCATCAGATGGGGCCAGTCCCACCTAAGCAACACCTTAGTCTGCTGGCCTCTCCCCGAGCCTCAGTATGGCCACACCTGCTTGCAGGGCGCCCTCGGGAGCCTTGAGAGGCCTCACAATAGCTTCTCCTCTGGCAGACCCTGACTGAAAGGCAGAGAGCTTAAGCAGGGCGGCTCCTATGGCCACTCACCAGCCTGCACAGTCTTTCCCCACACTGCAGCCGCAGCGTCCCCGACATCCCTCCATGGGACAACTCCCACATGAGTTTGCTGGGCGTGTCTGCTTAGGGGTAGGGGTGGGGATTTGGGTTTGCTTTCCTTGCCCTGACAGCGCCTGGTAGTACAGTCTGCTCCCCTTCCCCTGCCAACCACCGTTGCAGACAGAGTCTTAGTGGGTACAGAGCCAGCAAGCCCTGTCCCAACAAGTACCCCACCCTTGCTTTAAGAATGCGCAGATGACAGCGGATCCTCCCCCACCTTGAGTGACCCCTCCAGCTTGCAGAGCAGAGAAGGCACCCAGACCTGCACCTGTCAGTGCCCTGCCCCCAGCCAACACCACCTCCAGTGCAAGCAGGCACACAGTTGTCATCAGGCACCCGCTACCACCACCATCGCTCCAGGCCCAACCTCAACTGCATTGCCTCCGCCACTGTGGTGAATGTCCCCAGGGAGACAGGCACCCAGGAACCCGCTAGCACTCAAAAATAGAAAGATTCAATATCATTAAAATGAACATACTGCCCAAAGCAATTTATAGAGTTCATGGTATTTCTATTAAACTACCATTGACATTCTTCACTGAACTACTAAAACTATTTTAAAATTCATATGAACCAAAAAAGAGTCAAAATAGAGAAGGCAATGCTAAGCAAAAAGAAGAAAGCTGGAGGCAACATGTTACCCAACTTCAAACTATACTACAGCGCTACAGTAACCAAAACAGCATGGTACTGGTACTAAAACAGACATACAGATGAGCGGAACAGAATAGAGAGTGCAGAAATATGAACTAACTCCTACAACCATCTGATTTTCGACAAATCTGACAAAAACAAGCACTGGGGAAAGGATACCCTATTCAATAAATGGTGCTGAGATAACTGGCTAGCCATATGCAGAAGATTGAAACTGGACCACTTCCTTTCACTGTATACAAAAATTAACTCAAGATGGATTAAAGACTTAAATGTAAGATACAAAACTATCAAAATGCTAGAAAACAACCTAGGTAATACTGTTCTGGTCATAGGAACAGGCAAAGATTTCATGATGAAGATGACAAAAGCAATTACAACAAAAACAAAAATTGACAAATGGGTTCTAATTAAACTTAAGAGCTTCTGCACAGTGAAAGAAACTGTCAACAGAGTAAACAGATAACCCACAGAATATGATAAAATTTTTGCAAACTCTATATCTGATAAAGGTCTAATATCCAGCATCTATAAGGAACTTAAACAAATTTACAAGAAAAAAACAAACAGCCCCATTAAAAAGTGAGCAAAGGACATGTGTAGACACTTTTCAAAAGAAGACATACACGTGGCCAACAATCATGTGAGAAAAAGCTCAACATCACTGATCCTCAGAGAAATACAAAATGCAATAACATTAAAACCGCAAATGAGATACCATCTCATGCCTGTCACAATGGCTATTACTAAAAAGTCAAAAAATAACAGATGCTGGCAAGGTTGCAGAGAAAAAAGAACACTTATACACTGTTGGTGGGAGTATAAATTAGGTCAACCATTGTGGAAGAAAGTGTGACGACAACTCAAAGACCTAAAAACAGAAAAAACATTCGACCCGATACTCCCATTACTGGGTATGTGCTCAAAGGCTTAATACCTGGGTGATGAAATAATCTGTACAACAAACCCCCATGTCACAAGTTTACCTATGTAACAAACCTGCACATGTACCCGTGAACTTAAAAGTTTAATTGCCAAAAAAATCCACATGATCAAATTATCACATTAAAAGTAAATAACAATACAAAAGATGTTCAGTTTTTTTCCATATAAAAATTAAACAACCAAAAAAAAAAGGTAAAATGGCTTAAATATGTTGGAAAAGGTTCATCCACAGAAAATCCAACTTCTCCACTTTTGTGATTTGCCTATTATAAGTTGTTTTTTTCTGCTACCTTTTCAATAGCATGAATTTTAAATTAAACATTAATTGCCTGGTTAGATTTTCATGCATCCATAAAACCAGCCATGCTTTCATTGTGTACAGGTGTTCATTAATTAAGAGCATAACAGGTTAGTTGTTCTTCATTTTATGTACTCACTGTGCAGCTACTGAAATGACTGCCAATAGTAGTACTTATGCTCACATATTTTCTAAAAAGCGCTGCCTTACTTTGCATATTGTTAATTGTGTTTAAACAAAGGCAAAGATTACTGACTAATTCAGAGGCTCTCTATAAATATTCATTTCAAAAATAAATAATCCATTTGGGATGAATAATCCTTTTCAACTTTTTATGGTATGAATCTCCTTGTGCTATTAAAAAGCATTTTAGCAAGATCACTTTTACATTTCAAGCTAAAGTGTATTCAGATTGTGCATTTTAAAAGAATTTCTATTTCTGCAGCTACCTCAATCATGTATTGCCTGTCTCTATTTTATCATGAGTTCTATATACATGACATACTTTAGTCCATTAAAATCTTATGGAAGAGAAGTAGCATGAAAAATGCACGAAGTACTCTCCTTTGAAAGTGAGTTGAGGAAGGTTTGTATTGCATCCTTTATGCTTCCTGTACTGTGGTACTACATAGGGTTAGAGCTACTAATGGTGTTGAGCCAAGTGTTGAGTTATGTGCCTGTTTTGTCAGGCAGCACAGATTTAAAGAGACACCAATGTCTGGAGACATCCTCTCAAATGATGCACTCTGCCTCTATTAAGTACATATCCAGTATTTTAAAAGATAATGCTGCTCTAAAGAGCCAACTAAACTTTGAAAATAGAGCTGCTTGGGAGAAAAAAGGTCTCACATTAGGGATGTTGAATTGAAAGTGGTATGCCTCTTTAAGGTTCACTTATTTAATAGAATATTCTAAATTCCAAAGCAGTGCAGTGAACTATTCTGTCATAGAATTGCCCCTTTTCTGCATGCCAAAAAACAGAATTTTTCTTTACAATTTTTCTGAAGAGTATATTTTGAATTTTCCGGTCATCAAGAAATACTCGGTCAGGCACGGTGGCTCATGCCTATAATCTCAGCACTTTGGGACGCTGAAGCATAGGTATCATCTGAGCCCAGGAATTCAAGACCAGCCTGGCCAACATGGCAAAAACCATCTCTGCTAAACATATAAAAATCAGCCAGGCATGGTGGCACACACCTGTAATTTTAGCTATTCAGATGACTGAGGCATGAGAACCCGGGAGGCAGAGGTTGCACTGAGCAGACATTGCACCACTGCACTCCAGCCTGGGTGACAGAGTGAGACTCTCTCAAAAAAAAAAAAAAAAAAAAAAAAAGGAAAGAAACACTCTTGATAGTCAGCAAAGCTAAGATAAATTGGTTCAGTCCAATTTCTTAGTATTAGGATGTCAAAATCATAATACAAATATATATTTTTATGCACACATTTCACTTTTAATTTATGTGGGTATACAGTAGGTATATATATTTTGGGGTTACATGAGATATTTTGATACAGGCATACAATGCTTAGTAATCATATCAGGATAAATAGGGTATTCATCCCCTCAAGCATCTATCCTTTGTGTTTCAAACAATCCAATAATACACTTCTGGTCAGTTTAAAATGTACAATTAATTTTTTTTTTTTACTATAGTCACCCTGTTATGCTAGCAAATACTAGGTCTTATTTATTCTTTCTAATTTTTTTTTATATCCATTAACCATCTTCCCTTCCCCCCAACCCCCACTACCAACTACACTTCCCAGCCTCTGGTAACCAACCTTCTACTCTCTATTTACATGAGTTCGATTGTTTTAATTTTTAGCTCTTACCAATGAGTGAGAACATGTGATGTTTGTCTTTCTGTGCCTGGCTTATTTCACTTAACATGATGATCTCCAGATCCATCCATGTTGTTGCAAATGACAGGATTTCATTCTTTTGTATGGCTCAATAATACTACGTTGTGTACAAGTACCACATTTTCTTTATCCATTCATCTGCTGATGGACATTTAAGTTGCTTCCAGATATTGGCTATGGTGAATATTACTGCAATAAATGTGGGAGTGCAGATATCACTTCAATAAACTAATTTCCTTTCTTTGGATATATACCTAGGAGTGGGATTGCTAGATCATATGGTAGCTCTATTTTTAGTTTTCTGAGAAACCTCCAAACTGTTCTCCGTAGTGTTGTACTAATTTATGTTCCCACCAACAGTGTATGAGTGTTTCCTTTTCTCTAGATCCTCACTAGCATTTGTTATTGCCTGTCTTTTGAATATAAGCCATGTAAACTGGGGTGAAATTACATCTTATTGAAGTTTTGATTTGCATTCCCCTGATGATCAATTATGCTGAGCACATTTTCATATGCTCAGACTTATATGTCTTCTTTTGAGAAATGTCTTTTCAAATCTTTTGCCCATTTTATGAATTGGGTTTTTTTTATTTTTTTTCCTACATAATTGACTTCTTTATATATTCTGTTTATCAATCCTTTGGCAGACAGGTAGTTTGCAAATATTTTCTCCCATTCTGTGGGTTGTCTCTTCACTTGTTTACTGTTTCCTTTGCTGTGTAGAAGCTTTTTAAATTATCCTATTTGTCTATTTTTGCTTTAGTTTTCTGTGCTTGTGGTATATTGCTCAAGAAGTCTTTGCCTACTCCGTTGTCTTGCACAGTTTCCCCAATGTTTTCCTGTAGTAGTTTCATATTTTGAGGTCTTAGATTTGAATCTTTAATACATTTTGATTTGATTTTTATATGGCAAGGTATAAGAGTCTAGTTTCACTTTTCTACATGTAGCTATCCAGTTTTCCCAGAACTATTTAGTGAAGAGACTGTCCTTTCTTTGATGTATGTTCTGAGAATTTTTATTGGAAATAAGTTCATTGCAGATGTATGGATTTATGTTGGAGGTCCTCTATTCTGTTCCATTGGTCAATGTGTCTGTTTTTATGCCAGGGCCATGCTGTTTTTATCACTGTAGCTCTCAAGTATAATTTAAAGTCTGGTAATGTGATTCCACCAGTTTTGTTCTTTTTGCTTAGGATAGTTTTGGCTATTCTAGCTCTTTTGTGATCTGATATAAACTTAAGAATTGTTTTTTCTATTTCTGTGAAGAATATCATTGTTATTTTGATAGGGATTGCATTAAATCTCTAGATTGCTTTGGATAGTATGGACATTTTAACAATATTGTTTCTTACAATTCATGAACAGGGAATATCTTTCTATTATTTTGTGTCCTTTTCAATGTATTGCATCAGTTTTACAGTTTTCATTATAGAGATATTTCATTTATTTGGTTAATTCCTAAGTGTTGTATTTTATTTGTAGCTATTGTAAATAAGATAAGTTTCTTGATTTCTTTTTCAGATTGTTCACAGTTTGCATATAAAAATGCTACTGATTTTTGTATGTTGATTTTGTATCCTGAAAATTTACTAAATTTGTTCATCAGTTCTAATTGTTTTTTGATGGGGTCTTTAGATTTTCCCAAACATAAGATTATATCATCTGCAAACAAGAAAAAGTTGATGTCTTCCTTTCCAATTTGGATGCCTTTTATATATTTCTCCTGTCTGATTGCTCTAGCTAGGACTTCCAGTACTATGCTGAAAAATAGTGGTGAAACTGGGCATTCTTGTCATGTTCCAGATCTAGGAGGAAAGACTTTCAGTCTTTCCCCATTTAATATAATACTAGCTGTGAGTTCATCATATGATTTTTATGATGTTGAGTTATATTCCTTCTATACCCAGTTTGTTGAGAATTTTTATCATGAAGAGATGCTAAATTTTATCAAATGCTTTTTCAACATCAATTGAAATGGTCATAGGTGTTTTGTCCTTCATTCTGTTGGTATAATGTATCACATTGACTTATTTGTGTATGTTGAATTTGCCTTGCATCCCAGGGATAAATTCCACTTGGTCATGATGAATGAACTTTTTAATGTGTTATTGAATTCAGTTTGCTGGTATTTTGTTGAGAAATTTTGCATTGATACTTACCAGTGATACCAGTCTATAGGTTTTTTTTTTCTTTTTTGATACGTCTTTGTCTATTTTTGGTACCAGGATAATACTGGCCTCATAGAATGAATTTGGAAGTGTTCCCTCCTTCTCTATTTTTTGAAATAGTTTGAGTAGGATTGGTTTTAGTTCTTCTTTAAATGTTTGGCAGAATTCAGCAGTGAAGCCATTGAGTCTGAGGCTTCTTTTTTTTTCCCTCTGGATGCCCATTTATTACAGCTTCAATCACACATTATCGATCTGCTTAAGTTTTGAATTTATTCATAGTTCAATCTTGATAGGTTGTATGTGTCTAGAAATTTGTCCATTTCTTCTAGATATTCCAATTTATTGGCACATAGTTGCTCATAGTAGCCTCTAATGATCCTTTGAATTTCTGCAGTGTGAGATGTAATGTCTCCTTTTTATGTCTGATTTTGCTTATTTGTGTACTCTCTTTTTTTCTTAGTCTGGCTAAAGATTTGTTCATTTTAACTTTAAAAAAACCTTTTTGTTCTATTGATCTTTTGTATTGTTTTCTTCATTTCATTTATTTCTGCTCTGATCTTTATTGTATTTTTCTTCTACTAATTTTGGGTTTGGTTTACTCTTGCTTTTCTAGTTCCTTAGGATGCCTCATTAGGTTGTTTATTTGAAGTTTTTCTTTTTCTTTTTTTTTTTTTTTTAATGATTTAGGCACTTATAGCTATGAAGTTTCCTCTTAGGATTGCTTTTGCTGTATCCCATAGGTCTTGGTATGCTGTGATTCCATTATCATTTGTTTCAAGAAATTTTTCAATTCCCTTCTTAATTTCTTCATTGACCCATGGGTCATTCAGGAGCATTTTTTTTGTGACCTAACATATGGCCTATCCTTGAGAATAACCTATGTGCTGAGGAAAAGAATGTGTATTCAGTCATTGGATAAAATGTTTTGAAAATATTAGGTCGATTTGGTCCACATTGTAAATTAAATCCAGTGTTTCTTTGTTGATTTTCTGTCTGGAAGGTCTGTCTAGTGCTGAAAGTGAGGTGTTAAAGTCTCCAGCTATTATTGCAGTGAGGCGTATCTCTCTTTCCTTACCTCTCATAATATTTCCTGTGTATATCTGGGTACTCAAGCATTGAGTGCACATGTATTTCAAATTGTTATATCCTCTTGCTGAATTCACCCCTTTATCTTTATATGGTGAACTTCTTTATGTCTTCTTATAGTTTTTGTCTTAAAATTTATTTTTTTCTCATATGAATATAGCTACTACTGCTCTTTTGTGATTTCCACTGGCATGAAATATGTTTTTCTATCCCTGTGTTTTCAATCTATGAGTGTCTTTATAGGTGAAGTGTGTTGCTTGTAGGAAACAGGTTATTGCGTATTATTTTTTTGACCATTCAGCCACTCTGTCTTTTGATTAGAGAGGTTAGTCCATTTACATGCAGTGTTACTATTGATAAGTAAGGACTTACTCCTGCCATTTTATTATTTGTTTTCTGGTTGTTTTGTGGTCTATTCTTCCTTCTTTCCTTTCTTCCTGCCTTCCTATTAGTGAAGGTGTTTTTCTCTAGTGATATGGTGTAATTTTCATTTTTTGTGTATCCCTTGTAAGTTTTTTGCTTTGAGGTTACCACGAGGTTTGCAAATACTGGCTTATAACCAATTATTTTAAGCCGGTAATAACTTATCACTGTTTGCAAACAAAACAAACAAGTAAAAAGAAAACTAGTAAAAAATCTACATCTTAAATTTAATCACCTCCTTTTTAACTTTCTGCTGTTTCTATTTATATCTTATTGTACTGTCTATGTATTTGAATGTTGTTGTAGTTATTATTTTTTATTGGTTCATCATTTAGTCTTTCTGCTTAGGATAAGAGTAGTTTATACTCCACAGTTACAGTGTTATAATATTCTGTGTTTTCCTGTGTACTTACTATTACCAATGAGTTTTTTACATTCAAATGATTATTTATTCCTCATTAATGTCCTTTTCTTTCTGATTGAAGTATTCTCTTTAGCATTTCTTGTGGGACAGGTCTGGTGTTGATGAAATCCCTCAGCTTTCTTTGTCTGGGAAGCCTTTATTTCTCCTTATGTTTGAAGGATATTTTCACCAGATATAATACTCTATGGTAAAAGTTTTTTTTCATTAGCACTTTAAATATGTCATACCGCTCTCTCCTGGCCTGTAAAGTTTCCACTGAAAAGTCTGCTGCCAGACATATTGGAGCTCCTTTGTATGTTATTTGTTTCTTTCTCTTACTGTTTTTAGGATCTTTTCTTTATCCTTGAGCTTTGGAAGTTTGATTATTAACTGTCTTGAGGCATTGTTCTTTGGGTTGAATCTGCTTGGTGTTCTATAACCTTCTTGTACTTAAATGTTAATATTTTTCTCTAGGTTTGGGAAGTTCTCTGATATTATCCATTTGAATAAACTTCATACCCCTATCTCTTTCTACCTTGTCTTTAAGGCCAAAACTCTTAGATTTGCCCTTTTGAGGCTATTTTCTAAATCTTGTAGGTGTGCTTCATTATTCTTTTTTCTTTTGTCTAGTCTGACGTATATTTTCAAATAGCCTATCTTAAAGTTTACTAATTCTTTCTTCTGCTAGATCAATTCTACTATTAAAAGACTCATGCTTTCTCCACTGTGTCAGTTGCATTTTTCAGCTCCAGAGTTTGTGTTGGATTCTCTTTATTATTTCAATCTCTTTGTTAAATTTGTCTGATAGAATTCTGAATTCTTTCTTGGCATTCTATTTTTTTTTTTTTTTTTTTACTTTCCTCATAACAGCTATTTTGATTTATCTGTCTGAAAGGTCACATATCTCCGTTTCTCCAGGATTGGTCCCCGGTGGCATATTTGGTTCATTTGCTGAAGTCGTGTTTTCCTGGATGGTCTTGATACTTGTGGATATTTATCTGTGTCTGGCCATTGAAGAGTTAGGCATTTATTGTAGTTTTTGCAGGCTGGGCTTGTTTGTAACCTGCCTTTCGTGGGCAGGCTTTTCCAGGTATTTGAAAGGACTTGCGTATTGTTATCTAGCTGTATCTGCTTTAGGGGACACCCCAAGCCCAGTAATGTAGTTCTTGGAGACTAGTAGAGGTACTGCCTTGATAATCTTGAAGAAGGTCTGAAAGAATTCTCTGGATTACCAGGCAGAGACTCTTGTTCTCTTTCCTTACTTTCTCCCAAACAAATGGAGTCTCTCTGTTCTGAGCCACCTGGAGCTGGGGATGAAGTGACATAAGTACCCTGGTGGCCACCACCACTGGAACTGTGCTGGGTCAGACCTGAAGCCAGTCCAGCAGTCGATCTCACCTATGGCCTGCTATAACCACTTGCTGGTGACTGCCTATGTTTGCTCAAGGCCCTGGGGCTCTACAATTAGCATGTGGCAAAGTGAGCCAGGCCAGTGTCCTTCCTTTCAGGGTGGTGAGTTCCCCTAGGGCCTAGGCGGATCCAGAGGTGCCATTCAGGAGCCAGGGACTACAGTCAAAATCCTTAGAAGTCTACTTGGTGTTCTATTGTACTGCAGCTGAGTTGACACTCAAACCACAAGGCACAGTCCTTCCCATTCTTCCCTCTCCTTTCCAAAGGCAGAGGAGCCTCACCACGTGGCCACTGCCACCACAAGCCCACAGGTAGTACTGCCAGTCTACTGCCAGTGTTCCCTTAAGGCCCAAGGTCTCTTAAGTTAGCTTTTGGCGAATGGTGCCTGGCCTAGAACTCACCCTTCAGGGCAATGGGCTCCCTTCTGTCCCTGGGCAGGTCCAGAAATGCTGTCAAAGAGTCAACTCCTGGGATCAGGGACCCCAAGAGCCCTCTTAGTTCTCTACACCTCTGTGGCTGAGCTGGTACCTAAGGTTCAAGACAAAGTCTCCTTTACTTTTCATAGCAGATGATTAATCCTGCCAAGACTGGGTCTTTCCCTTCAAGGTAGTGGGTTCCTTTCTTGCCCAGGATGTGTCTAGAAATGTCATACAGGAGCTAGGGTCTGAAAAGAGGGCTTCACAACTATGACCAGTGCCCTATTCTCCTGTGGCTGAGCTGGTATCCAAGAAGCAAGAAAAAGTTCTCCCCACTCTTCCTCCTTCTCTCCTAAAGTGGGAGGAAGGTATCTCTTATGGATCTGCAAGCTGTGCAGCCTGGACTTAGGAAAGGGGTGGCATCAACACTCCCCTAGCACTCTACCCCAGCTCACATTTTAGATGCCACATATTCTCCAAGTCCACTATCTCTGAGCCCAGTTCAACACAGGACTTGCCTAGGAGTTACAGTCCTTGTGGCCTAGACTACCTTTCAAGTTTATTTAGGGCCCCAGAGCACTTGAGCCTGTGGTGGTGAGGCTTTCAGGAATTCAAGTTCTGACCACTGATATGGAAGATTTCCCTCTGGCTAGGGATGGTTTAAATATTCCCTCCGGGCCGGGCGCTGTGGCTCACACCTGTAATCCCAGCACTTTGGGAGGCCGAGGTGGGTGAATAACCTGAGGTCAGGAGTTCGAGACCAGCCTGACCAACATGGTGAAACATCGTCTCTACTGAAAATACAAAAATTAGCCGGGCGCGGTAGCGGGCACCTGTAATCCCAGCTACTCGAGAGGCTGAGGCACAAGAATCACTTGAACCCAGGAGGCAGAGATTGCAGTGAGCCAAGATCGGGCCATTGCACTCCATCCTGGGTGACATAGCGAGACTCTGTCTCAAAAAAATAAAAAATTTAAATAAATAAATAAATAAATTCCCTCTGTGGGTGGGCATCAGCTGAATTTGGTCTGGTTTTGCTTTCTTCTATAACCAAGCGACACTGAATTTAATGTCTCACAATTGTTGCACTCTCCCTCTCCCAAGCAAACAGATTTTCTCTTCTGTGTTGTGGGGCCACTGCTGGGGAATGGAGGAGCGGTGGTCTCAGTGATTCAAGACTGTTTTTCCTACCTCTTCAGTGCATCTTTCAGCAATATGAAGTTTAAACCAAATACTGTGAGTGCTCACCTGATTTTTGGTTCTTACAAAAGTGAGTTTTATGTGTAGCAGTGTCCTTGCCAAGGGGACAATCAGTGGAGCCTTCTATTCTGCCATCTTGCTCTGCCACCATCTCCTATATTTAAGCTATATTTTCTTACAAGTTTTAGTTAGAGATTAGATAGATTGATAAATAAAGATAGACAGCCCTGTGTTTAATTTTTGAAATCTGTTAATATCATCAAACCAATATATAAATTTGGGATAGCATAATGTAAATACTTTCTCTATTATTTAAAAAGATGACACTCAGGACAAAAAAAATCACATTTGGGGAAATGAATCTGAAATACACACTGTGGGTGAAATGGAAAAATACATAAAGTAAATACAGCATTGTCAATTTTGTCATTTAATTGAATTTTAATATTCTATACGTTACATGTTCTTAATACGGTTGAAAAATAAATGAAAGGGAGAAAAGATATAGTTAACTACGTAACTTGTCATTCAGAAAGGTCTGATCTTCTCTGTAGTATAAAATTTCAATTATCTTCAAAGCTACTGGTATAAATCTCAATATTTGCAGTTTATTTCAAATTTTAATGAATTATATATACACACATGAATAAATATACATATATGCTTATGTGTGTATGTATCTTTTAAAGAAAAAGAAATTGCACCTATAATGAAAGGTTGGAGTTTCAACCTGGATTAACGTTCTACTGTGCCACTTAATAGCAGGGTGGACATAGGCAGGAAGTATGTCATTTAAGGCTTGAATTTCTCACTCATAAAATGGGGATACCACAACCTACTCCTTTTGACCATTCTATTAAATAAGATTTTTTAAATGCATGTAAAGAGCTTAGCATAGTGCCTGGCACATGATAAATGCTCAATATTATTGGAAGATATTTTATTGTATCACCTCCATCATTAATTTAAATGAGTTATTACTTTATTAAATGGAAATTTACAAACTAGTAATCATGAAAAAGTATATTTTTTCATATTGAGAAAACATTTTCAGAGTTAAACACGTTTGTTGATACAGTAAGAACCCTACGGTCTCTTGACTTGCAGCTCTGCAGTCAACTTCCCAAGATACCCTCACTGTGAGAAGTCTCCACTGCAGACAGCCAGCGTTCCATCATGCCCTATCATCCAGCCCACTAGAACAACAGGAGAGTCAAGAGAATGTTTTAGCACATGGCACACTCCACAGAGCATGCATGCCTTCTAAATCATCCTTGCAAACCCGTGGCTGGCCTTCCCATGATGCCTTTTCATCTTATCTAATTAGTACTATTTCTCAATATGTAGCCATTTTCTTTGGTTCTTGTAGCACAGACAAGGCGAAAGGAGTAGAGGAAAAGAAGTGTTGAATGAAAGACTATGCTAACACATTTTTCCACACATTCAAATGTCTTTGCTTTCTAGTTATTTTTTTCCTACACTGTATTCCGTCCCTTCATTCTCTTCTGACTCAAATGGAAAATTATACACATATTTCTGGCCACAAAAGGAAAAATACTGAGGAGCCAAGATGGCCGAATAGGAACAGCTCCGGTCTACAGCTCCCAGCGTGAGCGACGCAGAAGACGGGTGATTTCTGCATTTCCATCTGAGGTACCGGGTTCATCTCACTAGGGAGTGCCAGACAGTGGGCGCAGGTCAGTGGGTGCGCGCACCGTGCGCGAGCCGAAGCAGGGCGAGGCGTTGCCTCACTTGGGAAGCGCAAGGGGTCAGGGAGCTCCCTTTCCGAGTCAAAGAAAGGGGTGACAGACGCACCTGGAAAATCGGGTCACTCCCACCCTAATACTGCGCTTTTCCGATAGGCTTAAAAAACGGCCCAACACGAGATTATATCCCGCACCTGGCTGGGAGGGTCCTACGCCCACGGAGTCTCGCTGATTGCTAGCACAGCAGTCTGAGATCAAACTGCAAGGTGGCAGCCAGGCTGGGGGAGGGGCGCCCGCCATTGCCCAGGCTTGCTTAGGTAAACAAAGCAGCAGGGAAGCTCCAACTGGGTGGAGCCCACCACAGCTCAAGGAGGCCAGCCTGCCTCTGTAGGCTCCACCTCTGGGGGCAGGGCACAGACAAACAAAAAGACAGCAGGAACCTCTGCAGACTTAAATGTCCCTGTCTGACAGCTTTGAAGAGAGCAGTGGTTCTCCCAGCACGCAGCTGGAGATCTGAGAACGGGCAGACTGCCTCCTCAAGTGGGTCCCTGACCCCTGACCCCCAAGCAGCCTAACTGGGAGGCACCCCCCAGCAGGGGCACACTGACACCTCACACGGCAGGGTATTCCAACAGACCTGCAGCTGAGGGTCCTGTCTGTTAGAAGGAAAACTAACAAACAGAAAGGACATCCACACCAAAAACCCATCTGTACATCACCATCATCAAAGACCAAAAGTAGATAAAACCACAAAGATGGGGAAAAAACACAACAGAAAAACTGGAAACTCTAAAAAGCAGAGTGCCTCTCCTCCTCCAAAGGAACGCAGTTCCTCACCAGCAACGGAACAAAGCTGGATGGAGAATGACTTTGATGAGCTGAGAGAAGAAGGCTTCAGATGATCAAATTACTCTGAGCTACGGGAGGACATTCAAACCAAAGGCAAGGAAGTTGAAAACTTTGAAAAAAATTTAGAAGAATGTATAACTAGAATAACCAATACAGAGAAGTGCTTAAAGGAGCTGATGGAGCTGAAAACCAAAGCTCGAGAACTACGTGAAGAATGCAGAAGCCTCAGGAGCCGATGTGATCAACTGGAAGAAAGGGTATCAGCAATGGAAGATGAAATGAATGAAATGAAGCGAGAAGGGAAGTTTAGAGAAAAAAGAATAAAAAGAAATGAGCAAAGCCTCCAAGAAAATATGGGACTATGTGAAAAGACCAAATCTACGTCTGATTGGTGTACCTGAAAGTGTTGGGGAGAATGGAACCAAGTTGGAAAACACTCTGCAGAATATTATCCAGGAGAACTTCCCCAATCTAGCAAGGCAGGCCAACATTCAAATTCAGGAAATACAGAGAATGCCATAAAGATACTCCTCGAGAAGAGCAACTCCAAGACACATAATTGTCAGATTCACCAAAGTTGAAATGAAGGAAAAAATGTTAAGGGCAGCCAGAGAGAAAGGTCGGGTTACCCTCAAAGGGAAGCCCATCAGACTAACAGCGGATCTCTCGGCAGAAACCCTACAAGCCAGAAGAGAGTGGGGGCCAATATTCAACATTCTTAAAGGAAAGAATTTTCAACCCAGAATTTCATATCCAGCCAAACTAAGCTTCATAAGTGAAGGAGAAATAAAATACTTTACAGACAAGCAAATGCTGAGAGATTTTGTCACCACCAGGCCTGCCCTAAAAGAGCTCCTGAAGGAAGCACTAAACATGGAAAGGAACAACCGGTACCAGCCGCTGCAAAATCATGCCAAAATGTAAAGACCTTCGAGACTAGGAAGAAACTGCATCAACTAATGAGCAAAATAACCAGCTAACATCATAATGACAGGATCAAATTCACACATAACAATATTAACTTTAGATGTAAATGGACTAAATGCTCCAATTTAAAGACACAGACTGGCAAATTAGATAAAGAGTCAAGACCCATCAGTGTGCTATATTCAGGAAACCCATCTCACGTGCAGAAACACACACAGGCTCAAAATAAAAGGATGGAGGAAGATCTACCAAGCAAATGGAAAACAAAAAAAGGCAGGGGTTGCAATCCCAGTCTCTGATAAAACAGACTTTAAACCAACAAAGATCAAAAGAGACAAAGAAGGCCATTACATAATGGTAAAGGGATCAATTCAACAAGAAGAGCTAACTATCCTAAATATATATGCACCCAATACAGGAGCACCCAGATTCATAAAGCAAGTGCTTAGTGACCTACAAAGAGACTTAGACTCCCACACATTAATAATGGGAGACTTTAACAACCCACTGTCAACATTAGACAGATCAACGAGACAGAAAGTCAACAAGGATACCCAGGAATTGAACTCAGCTCTGTACCAAGTGGACCTAATAGACATCTACAGAACTCTCCACCCCAAATCAACAGAATATACATTTTTTTTCAGCACCACACCACACCTATTCGAAAATTGACCACATACTTGGAAGTAAAGCTCTCCTCAGCAAATGTGAAAGAACAGAAATTATAACAAACTATCTCTCAGACCACAGTGCAATCAAACTAGAACTCAGGATTAAGAACCTCACCCAAACCGCTCAACTACATGGAAACTGAACAACCTGCTCCTGAATGACTACTGGGTACACAAAGAAATGAAGGCAGAAATAAAGATGTTCTTTGAAACCAACGAGAACAAAGACACAACATACCAGAATCTCTGGGACACATTCAAAGCAGTGTGTACAGGGAAATTTATAGCACTAAATGCCCACAAGAGAAAGCAGGAAAGATCCAAAATTGACACCCTAACATCACAATTAAAAGAACTAGAAAAGCAAGAGCAAACACATTCAAAAGCTAGCAGAAGGCAAGAAATAACTAAAATCAGAGCAGAACTGAAGGAAATAGAGACACAAAAAACCCTTCCAAAAATTAATGAATCCAGGAGCTGGTTTTTTGAAAGGATCAACAAAATTGATAGACCGCTAGCAAGACTAATAAAGAAAAAAAGAGAGAAGAATCAAATAGACACAATAAAAAATGATAAAGGAGATATCACCACCGATCCCACAGAAATACAAACTACCATCAGAGAATACTACAAACACCTCTACGCAAATAAACTAGAAAATCTAGAAGAAATGGATAAATTCCTCGAAACATACACTCTCCAAAGACTAAGCCAGGGAGAGGTTGAATCTCTGAACAGACCAATAACAGGATCTGAAATTGTGGCAATAATCAATAGTTTACCAACCAAAAAGAGTCCAGGACCAGATGGATTCACAGCCGAATTCTACCAGAGGTACAAGGAGGAACTGGTACCATTCCTTCTGAAACTATTCCAATCAATAGAAAAAGAGGGAATCCTCCCTAACTCATTTTATGAGGGCAGCATCATCCTGATACCAAAGCCGGGCAGAGACACAACGAACAAAGAGAATTTTAGACCAATATCCTTGATGAACATTGATACAAAAATCCTCAATAAAATACTGGCAAACCGAATCCAGCAGCACATCAAAAAGCTTATCCACCATGATCACGTGGGCTTCACCCCTGGGATGCAAGGCTGGTTCAATATACGCAAATCAATAAATGTAATCCAGCATATAAACAGAGCCAAAGACAAAAACCACATGATTATCTCAATAGCAGCAGAAAAAGCCTTTGACAAAATTCAACAACGCTTCATGCTAAAAACTCTCAATAAATTAGGTGTTGATGGGACGTATCTCAAAATAATAAGAGCTATCTATGACAAACCCACAGCCAATATCATACCGAATGGGCAAAAACTGGAAGCATTCCCTTTGAAAACTGGCACAAGACAGGGATGCCCTCTCTCACCACTCCTATTCAACATAGTGTTGGAAGTTCTGGCCAGGGCAATCAGGCAGGAGAAGGAAATAAAGGGTATTCAATTAGGAAAAGAGGAAGTCAAATTGTCCCTGTTTGCAGATGACATGATTGTATATCTAGAAAACCCCATTGTCTCAGCCCAAAATCTCCTTAAGCTGATAAGCAACTTCAGCAAAGTCTCAGGATACAAAATCAATGTGCAAAAATCACAAGCATTCTTATACACCAACAACAGACAGAGAGCCAAATCATGAGTGAACTCCCATTCACAATTGCTTCAAAGAGAATAAAATACCTAGGAATCCAACTTACAAGGGATGTGAAGGACCTCTTCAAGGAGAACTACAAACCACTGCTCAAGGAAATAAAAGAGGATACAGACAAATGGAAGAACATTCCATGCTCCTGGGTAGGAAGAATCTTTATCGTGAAAATGGCCATACTGCCCAAGGTAATTTACAGATTCAATGCCATCCCCATCAAGCTACCAATGCCTTTCTTCACAGAATTGGAAAAAACTACTTTCAAGTTCATATGGAACCAAAAAAGAGCCTGCATTGCTAAGTCAATCCTAAGCCAAAAGAACAAAGCTAGAGGCATCACACTACCTGACTTCAAACTATACTACAAGGCTACAGTAACCAAAACAGCATGGTACTGGTACCAAAACAGAGATATAGATCAATGGAACAGAACAGAGCCCTCAGAAATAATGCCGCATATCTACAACTATCTGATCTTTGACAAACCTGACAAAAACAAGCAATGGGGAAAGGATTCCCTATTTAATAAATGGTGCTGGGAAAACTGGCTAGCCATATGTAGAAAGCTGAAACTGGATCCCTTCCTTACACCTTATACAAAAATCAATTCAAGATGGATTAAAGACTTAAACGTTAGACCTAAAACCATAAAAACCCTAGAAGAAAACCTAGGCATTACCATTCAGGACATAGGCATGGGCAAGGACTTCATGTCTATAACACCAAAAGCAATGGCAACAAAAGCCAAAATTGACAAATGGGATCTAATTAAACTAAAGAGCTTCTGCACAGCAAAAGAAACTACCATCAGAGTGAACAAGCAACCTACAAAATGGGAGAAAATTTTCACAACCTACTCATCTGACAAAGGGCTAATATCCAGAATCTACAATGAACTCAAACAAATTTACAAGAAAAAAACAAACAACCCCATCAAACAGTGGGCAAAGGACATGAACAGACACTTCTCAAAAGAAGACATTTATGCAGCCAAAAAACACATGAAAAAATGCTCATCATCACTGGCCATCAGAGAAATGCAAATCAAAACCACAATGAGATACCATCTCACACCAGTTAGAATGGCAATCATTAAAAAGTCAGGAAACAACAGGTGCTGGAGAGGATGTGGAGAAATAGGAACACTTTTACACTGTTGGTGGGAATGTAAACTAGTTCAACCATTGTGGAAGTCAGTGTGGCGATTCCTCAGGGATCTAGAACTAGAAATACCATTTGACCCAGCCATCCCATTACTGGGTATATACCCAATGGACTATAAATCATGCTGCTATAAAGACACATGCACACGTATGTTTATTGCAGCACTATTCACAATAGCGAAGACTTGGAACCAACCCAAATGTCCAACAATGATAGACTGGATTAAGAAAATGTGGCACATATACACCATGGAATACTATGCAGCCATAAAATATGATGAGTTCATGTCCTTTGTAGGGACATGGATGAAATTGGAAATCATCATTCTCAGTAAACTATCGCAAGAACAAAAAACCAAACACCGCATATTCTCACTCATAGGTGGGAATTGAACAATGAGATCACATGGACACAGGAAGGGGAATATCACACTCTGGGGACTGTGGTGGGGAAGGGGGAGGGATAGCATTGGGAGATATACCTAATGCTAGATGACGAGTTAGTGGGTGCAGCGCACCAGCATGGCACATGTATACATATGTAACTAACCTGCACAATGTGCACATGTACCCTAAAACGTAAAGTATAATAATAAATAAATAAATAAATAAATAAATAAATAAATAAAAAATATAAATAAATAAAAAATTAAAAAAAGGAAAAATATTTTTTCTACATTTGAAAACTCAAACGCCAATAAATAGCTGTAGAGGTTAAAACAAACAAACAAACAACAACAAAAAAAAGGTTTTTTCTTCTCCCGCCATTGCTCTCCACTATGCTCAATGTGATCCCAAACCTCAGCCTCAAATAAATCCTAAGCACTTTTACGTACTAGAGCAGTCGCATTTTCAGGTATTTAAAAATTCCAGTTTAATTTAATTAAAAAAATTTAATCTCACATCTAATTCCATGGTCTCTCATTCCTTCCCAGCACAGACCTGACCCAACAGCTATGATCTGTCTTTTCTTTCTTCTTTCCACTTTATTTTGTACTTTCCAGCGGTGCTCTGGTACTTTCCAGGTCAGACAAGAAGGAGAAAAGCTTCCACTTAGATGGTACAATTTGTGGTTCTCACATGGGTGTTAAATGTTCAACATGATGGCGTTTATCCACATACTGCTGCTTTCTCTCATGGGGTGCATTGAGTTCTTTGAAGACATCTTGCCCCCTAGCAGGCAGCCTTATTGGGTGTGATCCTAACAACCCTATTCAAACCTATCTTCATGACCACTTGGTTCACAGTAACCATTTCACATTCCTGGGCTGCCAAAATCTAGAATTATAGGATATTCTCAGGAACTATTATTTATTGTTCTTCATTTGAAGTTTCCTCAAGTAGCTCAGTATGAAATTGAGGTATTCTAGAAAACTCCGAAACTCAGTACAAGGTGTGATAGGTAAGCATCTGAACTTCTCTATAGTGGTTGTCTTGCTCCTGTCCTTATTTACCTTGATGAAGAAATAATATCCCCACTTCTCTATTGACAGCTGGGGTTGGAGGGAGATGCCATAGCAAATCCATCTTCTAAACTGACAACCTTGTTTTAAGACAGCATTACTTGTGCATGTATGTATATGAGTTGGAGGCAGGCAATGAGAAAGAGTCATAAAATTGGTTTCCCTAATTCGTAGCGAGACTAGTTTTCTTCAGCCACTCTCAATTCAGCATCTGAGATTACATGTGACTCATTCCAAGTTCAGAAAACAGTCGTTTAATGTCCTCTTACAATTTCTTAAGTTGTACATTACCTTCTGACACCTACAAAGGATCCTGCTCTGTTGACATTTGTATTTTCACAGTTCTTGTCCATGATGGTGACTTAGAAAATTCCCTTGAGTTCAAAAATTATGGAAGAGACACAATGGAATATTATTATAAGATGGGCTGGATTAGTTTTATCTGGGGGTATGTGAATAGGCTTTGTATATATTTCTTCTTGCCTTTTCTTTCTCCCCTTTTTAGCAACAAATCTTATACAAAGATTATTTTACCTATTCTTTGCATTTAGTTCATTGTGGATCCATATAAACAAAGGGAATATGAGTTGAGATAAATACCATTCATTTTGTACACTCACCTCCTATCTTCTTGACTATTGCCACTTACAAGGAGGTTTATAAATCAGAAAATTCTTACATTTCCTGAAATATCCTAGCAATCTCTTTCAGAAATTCAAATAGGTATTTTGCCTAGATTTCCAGATTGAAACAAACTATGGCAAAACTGAAAGCATAATTCCTTTGGTACTACCAAAACAATATTATTGGAATATCCAAGAAGGATATTCTGTTTCAAGATTGCGTGTGTATAGACTCACGATGAACTTTCAGCACTTCTCATAGAAGACTTCACCACTTTCTCTTTTTCGAATCTAAACAGAAAATAATATTAAGTAATATTTATTGATTATAATTCCGGGTACTGTGATGAATAATCATGAAAATAACCTTAAGAAACAGGTATAATTAGTATCTCCATGAGACAATGGAAATACACGTTAAAAAATATTTTCAGCCAAGCAATTAGAGGGGTAGAACTAGGATTCAAACCCAGATCTTTCTTACTCCCACTTCTCACTCCCACAAGAAAACCTTTACCGTTTGTACATACCACTTTATCTACCCTAATAAGAATAAAAGCATTATGTAAACTCTTAAGGAAATAACACTGGTTTTTCTGGGCGGGTTGGGGGATGGTGGGCAAGGGGAACTCCTTCAATTTAACTCTTTCTGTAAACTAAGCCTGAGTTAGAATCAATTAATTGAAATTTTCCTGTGCTACATACTTCAATTTGAGTAGAAAAAAAAATTATTTTTTAAATGTTCCTCTTGACTTCTACCTTTGCTATATAAACTCCCTCCCTTCCCTCTTTTCATTCTTCAGCACCTTTCTTTCCAAACCAATTGCCAGATAACCATTAAGCTCCAAAATTGTATGGCCTGTCCCAGGTCTCGAAAAGAGCTGTATTTTTTAATGAGTGGGGTAAGCGCTTACTGTAATATAAATTGGAAATTTTTCAGGTAAAAAAAGATTGGTAAATGATTTCATTACATTTTATTTTAGTTAAACGCTAATTAAAGCATATTATTAGTGTGACTCACTTTGTTCAACCTACTGAGAAGTCCTTTGATATTCTGCCGTGGCTAAACTAAGGTAGTACACTATATTTTTTTCATTCTGTGTTTACAAGAATGCTTTCAATGTTTAAGAGGAAAAGAGACATGAGTTTATATTTCAACATGCCAGGTAAGACTTAAAACAGCTAGGCATTTGTAGCTTGTGGATAAAGTATCAATTACATTATCCACTAATGGATGAGCTTTGCTCAGAAAGAAATTCAGAAGAATCAGACTTAAACCTGCTAACCATATGTATAAACTTGATTCTCTAAGCTAATATGCTCAAGACATTTATCAGTAGTTGACTGAGGAAGAAGAGTCTAGCTGCTTAATCCTGGATTCAAATTTTATTAATTATATTTAAAATATATTTTGTTTTAAAGTAAATATGTATTTCTCTGGACTCAGCAAAAGCATTTATTAGATATTTGATTATATTAATTTTGTGCTTCTAGCAAGAATTATAGAACTTTTACACCATAAGCGCTCCGAAAGATTAAGTCAAATCCCTTCAGATCAGGAATATGTTGTTTTATAAAGGGATATAATTAAAACCAGTGGACTCCATCAGTGCAGAGATAATAACTGTGTGCCACCAACTTGAAAAGAAAATGAATGTACATGGGTTTCGCTGATTAGCTGCATGTAATTAGGAAATTTAAGCCAATTGGAATTAGAGTACCCAATTCAAACACTGTGCCCATGACAACAAAACACTGCGTGAGCTGCAGCTATTACAGCCTAAAGTTTTCCATTAGTGAATCCGATTATATCTAGTAAACTTTTTTTAAAATTTGAGTAGCTGTTACTTATACACATATGCTATTAAAACACGGTGAGCCATAATGCCTCTCTTGTCAGTTATTGTTCATTAAAATTGGAGGTAAGGTAAGAGAAGGATGATCTTATTTCTTTACATTAAGTTGAAGATGGGCTATCTTGTCTTGAAAATAAATTAGCAGCAGTAAGAAAACCTCACGGAGCTGATTTCAAGTAGTAAAACAAATGTTTTTAAAACTTAGATCATTAGTTGAAATTTGAAATCACATACTTTCAAAAAATGAATTAAATAGAAGTGAATCAAATCATAGAAGAAAGCCCTCTTTTGCTTTCTTAGTTTCTCAAAATGGAAATTTTCCCCAAAATGTTCACTTGTTTTTTTTTAATTTTTTACTCACAAAGTTAAAACTTTTAAAAATCTAAATTGGTAAATTGTTTTTTTAAAAATAAAAGTATCAATGGATGTGAAACAATACTACCAAAGCTTCAACAGTTTTGATTTCAAATAGTTACTTTGTTTTATTCTATTAATATCTTTTAAATAGGCTTCTAGATGTTGACTAGAGAGCCTAGAGCCTACTCTAAAACTGTAATCTAGAGTTTCTGAGCATCCTTTTTTTTTAGATGATGTTTTAGGGTTGAACAAAGTAGAAAAGGATCTTCAATGCCTAGTCTTTCCACAGAAACTTATGATCATAGGAATGATGTCCTCAAAGAAGAGGATTCAAAGCCCTAAATTTAGAGTACAGATTTAGTCCAATTTAATAGACAAAGTACTGGGTCTGGTATACATTACCCATAATGTTATTTAAATGTGAGTTTTCAGAGATAAATGTGAGGAGTGTATGTGTGTATGTATGTGTGTGTATATACATTTAAAAAAACAAAAATACTAAGAGAAGCAGTAATGGCATGATATCACTAAATTATTAATATATTTTATCCACTATTTATTTGACTATGCTTTGATGGTCACAATATTCAGAAGTCTGAGATTAGCAAAAAAGGCAATGTTTGAAAATTTGGATCCCTGTCCTTTTACATATACAGTTAAACTAGCTCCATTCTTGTGTGTCTTACCCGTAACATTGAGCAGAAAATAAATTTAGACTAATACTACATAACAGTGGTTTTTCAGACATGGTTATAAGGCATACTGATATCTCACAGTCTGTTACATGTGGCAACAACTATGACTACTAATACGTAACTCAATAAATGATTTGTTTGCTGTTCATATAAATTAGGTCATATTTACAGTTATTGCTCTAATTGCATCATTTTTCTCAGTTGAATTCCATGTGATTTCTTGAATGAGAGAAAAAAAGGGTATCCAATTCCATGCAATTCTGAGGGAATCCGTGAGATGAACTCCACATATGAATAATCCTCAGTATGTATGTAACAGTGAAAGAATAAAGATTGGTAACTGCTGCTGCATAATCCTATATTGGTAGCAGCTGCATGTGCCTGAGCAAGAGAATTGTGTTCATGGAGAAAAGGGCCAAACGATACTGAAACGTAGACCCTGACAAAGGAAGGTTATTTATTTCAATGGAGCCAATTATATATTCACAGGTTTTGCTCACCCTCTTTTCTGGCCCAAGGAGAATTTGTTTTCTTCCTTTCCAGGAGTATATAAATTCCACTTCAGTTTTTCTGGTGTATAAAAGGCTGTGTGAATACCTACCAGTAATTAATAGCCTTTCATTCCAAGTAAGTAATATATAGGAGTGAATTTATTGTTTATGAGTATATCAATATCGTTTAAAAATGATATGCCGGAATAGAAAGGCAACACTGAAGTGTAAAATTGTTAATGCAGGCTCATAGCCTGTAAAATGATTTCTTTTAATAGTTTTCTTCATTTAAAAGTTCTTCATTTGAAAATGTTCCCTTTCAACTGCAGATTTCATGGTTTGGTGCAATGAAGGGGAAATTTATTCCTTTGACACATTTATTCTTTTAATAGTTATTCATTTGAAAAAGTTTCACTGGTTGCCTATAAATTTTGCAGTTTGCAGAGAGATTCATTCTTGACAGATTTTTTAAAATGTTTATTCATTTAAGTAGTTTCTCACTCCATGGAATTGTTGCTAAGGTTTAACAACAACAAAAGAAATGTACTGAAGCTTCCTGGGGGTTCTGGTAAGGCAGTAATGCTAATCTTGACCTGTGGATTTTTCAGTGGCTCTGCAAGCCCCGGGATAACAAAAAAGAGTCACGTCATTAGCAAAGAGGATAACAGTGAGCAATTTTAAGGACAAAATTTACCTAATCATTATTAGATGTTCTTAGCTATAGTGTTAATTATTATTTAGAAATCACTACCACAGAGCATTTTCAAGAGGCATGGTGCAATAAGTGGTCATGAAAAAAAAAGTGTATCAAAATCTGCCACATAGATTTGAAAGCAGGGTGTTTCTGTCACCAATATTTTGTTTTAATCTTTAATATGACCATTCTGACTTCAAACAAACTTCTGACTTATCTCAGGATTTTATCCAACGTAGGTTGGGAGTTTTTTTCTCCTCACTCTCCACCCATTTTTATCCACAGTTCCGAAGACAGCACCCACCAATGTAAGCGGAAGAAGTGGAAGAAGGCATGAGTTAGTCATTGCCTGGGAGGTAAGAAAAACACATCCTCTCACAAATTACTCCACGTGTTTGTTTGGCTTAGTGTGATATTTAATTATTTTATGATTAAGCAGTCCACTTGATTCATTTAGAGGCTAAAAACAGTGGGAGGAAGGAATGAACCACTGCTGAATAAATGCCACGTTACCCTGGTTATCTCATTTAACCCATACAACAATCTTATCAGTTGGAATGATTTTCTTCATTTTACAAATCATGAAACTGAGGCACTGTTACATATTTTCCTAATAAACAGAATTGTGACTTTGATTACAAAATTTGTGTCATTTTATCTATCTCATCATATGCCTCCAAAGTATCATTTGTCAAGGAAAAAGAGTGGAGATGAAGGGGGAGGGGGTGTGAAGAATACATTTATTTTCCATGAAGCCACCTTCCTTTTTTGATGTTAAATAACCTTATTATTAAATGTAAATAGCTCACAGAGATCTTAGAATATATAGAAATGGAAATGCCTGTTAGAGTAAATAGAGCAACTCCTTGACAATCTCTAAGAACAATGAGAAAGTATACAGAGATCTCTTTTTCCAGTAAGAATTATTCCATGAGCACATAATCTGTCCTATTTTTTTTGTCCATTCCCCCTTTTCTTCGATAAAACTTCATATATTTTTTTGATGTCTACAGAGGTATTAACTTTCCAATAGCTGACCTTCACTGAGACCAGATCTCTCTAAATGGAATTGCCTTTCCATGTAAGCTTTAATATAACGGGCTTTGTTTCTTTGCCACCACTCAATACATGGCTTTTCTTCATATCAAAATTCAAGGAAAAAAACTACTTAGCAAATATTTATTGAGTATCTAGTGTGTGTGAAGCACTGTGCTAGACAGTGGCTGGTAACTTTTCCACATTGACTGGTCAATCACAATTACTCCTTTCTATGGTGTGCAGTTGAAGCCCATGTAACCAATTTAAATCTAAGCCATATAGCACAAGAAGCTTCTTGAATACCATAGTCCAACTTTTTCATGTCAGTAACCATAAAAGCAATTGCAAAGCACACTACAAAAAAGGTTTTAACATCATTATATCTTACTTTTGTGGTCTAAAGGGTTCTGCAGAGCATTACCAGTGACAAGATATTCCCGACCACCAGACCATAGGACAATTTTCCCCAACATGTTAATCCAAAGATCTTCATTTCATATACATGACTAATTGGAGCAAATTTGTTTCACTTCAAAAGTTTTCAATTCTCTTGAGAGTTTTTGTACATTTCAACTGATACAATTTTTCTTCTTTTACCTTTAAAGCTTTTTAACTTTCAAAGAAGTGCCAAAGTGATTGTACTATTTTGGCTTCCAATGTAGTATAAAGATTTGAGATTCTCCCTTTCTCTAGCTATCTATAATTTTTTTTAATTAAGAATTTGGAGAAAGTGGATTTTTAATCAATCATTTTGCTGATAATTAATTATATTTTTCTTCTTTAGCCAGTATCTGAAGAGTTTCAGAATGGGGAAGGCTTCGGCTATATTGTGGCTTTCAGACCCAATGGAACACGTGGCTGGAAGGAAAAAATGGTGACATCCTCTGAAGCTTCCAAATTCATTTATCGAGATGAAAGTGTCCCTCCTCTTACTCCCTTTGAAGTGAAAGTTGGCGTTTATAACAATAAAGGAGATGGGCCTTTTAGTCAAATTGTGGTCATCTGTTCAGCTGAAGGAGGTCAGTTTTTTTATTCCTATTATTTTTATTTAACATTTTACTTTGTTATACAAATAATCAGACACCTTTGTACACATATTAGAAAATACAAATAAGGCAAAATAAACTCATTCATAATCTCACTAAACTTTTTGGATATATATTTCCCAAACTTTTTTTAATTTTTTAAATTAAAAGTTGATTATTCCACATATGTTGCTTTAAGTTTTTCACATCCTAACAATATATGGCAAACATATATCCATGAAAACAACAATATCAGTAATCCCTGCAGTGTATTCCTTTCTCTGGGTGGACATTAAGCCAATCCTCTTTGGTTTGAAATTTAGATACTTTTATATTTTTCAATATATATGTAAAGTAGATTTAAATAAATGCTTCATTTATGTGACAAATAAATATTTATTTCTAACCCTATGCATAAAGCACTGTACTAATAAGGAAGTTTCAGACAGGGCTTTTTCTTGGAACCTTTTCAAACACATCATTAAATCCTATGGAAATCTTATGAAATAGACATTATTGCCTCCGTTATGTAGAAAGAGAAATTGACTTTCGGAAAAGTTAAAGAACGTGCTAAAGGTTACACTGCTTGTAACTGAGAATTAAATCCAGGTTTGTCTAACCACTAACTCCTTGATTTTTGTATAACTTGCTGCCTTCATATGCATGACCATGTTTAATTCACAAGATAGAACTCATAGGTAGGCAGTACCGAGTAGACAATATACCTATTTTACAGATGAGTAAACTGTAAAGTGGTTATACTCAATACATGATAGAGCTACAGTGGAAACCCTGCTTCCTACATCAAAGATACTGAATTATTTCAAGTTTTAATATAAAAATGCAATTTTCTGGGTGAAAGTATAATAATAGATCTAGCCCCCTAAAGTTAGCTTTTCCTCTTAGTCCTTCTTTTATTCAAATTCAGGATTTCAGTTAACCTTACAAGTGGGGGAAAAAAATGAGAAAAGGAAAAGACAGCCTTATGTTTCTTAAATTTACAAATGACTGAGAAAATGTTCTACCAAAGGCAGCATTCACTTTCCCCATACCAATAAGTGTGGTAAATATAAACTAACCCTTATACTTCCTCTGTGCCCACATGTAGGACTTGAACAGCTCAAGAGTATTATTCATAATTAATTATTATATCCCCCCATGAAGCTATGAGCTTCACGGGGGATATAAATATAGTCATGTGAATATTTAAAAACAAAGATAATGTTTGATTTAAGGAAGATGTAGTTTTTCAATAGTAAGCTGCCTCATATTTTTATAATATAGAGCCAAATTTTAAAGCAGAATCAGAAAGTTTATCTTAGCATAAGAATAACCAGGGAAGTGAAAAATCAAGTAATGGCAAGGAACTAGAGGTATTCTGATGAGATACCAATTGCACTTAGCATCTCAGATTTCTGATGTGTTTTCAGATAAAGTCCATATACCATGTTACTTATGTTATCTAATGTAAAGGTTAAAACCAAATATGAAATTGGAATCTCAAACCTTAATCTACATTTCAGGAAACTGAGTCTCAGAGAGGTTAAGTAACATGCTCAAATTCACACCAGTAAGTGACAGTTACAAGAAATGATAGTAAGTGACAGAGCTAGGATTTTAACCAGGTCTATATGACTGGAAAGCACATTTTTTAACTACTACACTATACTGCCTCATCAGGAATGTACACAATAGTGATATTTTCTATTATTTATTGCTCAAAAGATCTATTTTGAAGTATATGTGTTATTCAGAAAGTACATATTCTTTTTCCTTTTAAAATGTTGGAAACTAATTATCAATTACATAGCACCAAAGGTCGCATGAGAGATTAATTGGAGAAGTTTTTGAACACGCTTTGTATAGTAACAACAGTGCTGCCTTTAAGAAATTCAGCTTTGTAATTTCTTTGTCAATCTTTGCTTTGAAATTAATTTATAGCAGCCACCATGGGTTTTTTTACATTGTGTTTTCTTAAACTTGAAATGGCTTGCCTTTGGAAATTTCTCTTTCAAGCTAGATAGAAAATATGCATATTTTCTTTTAAAGACACTGAGGTTATTCCTGTAACATATTTCATAGTAATGTAACACTTCATTTATTTTAATCAACTGAAATATGAAATATATTAGGCAAATTAAATCTGGATAGAGTCCTTTGTTCTGACACTGAAATTCAAGCATATATTTGGCATTCGCTTACTAATTAAGTTTACAAATGTGGAACTTTATATGTAAATATGAGTAAAGTGTTAGCATCATTAGAGTGTGTCAACCAAGAAAGGCAGGACAAGGGAAAAGAAAAGCATTAACCTGAGCTCAAATCTGATCACACTAACTAGACCATCTTGGGCAGTTTATTCACCTCTCTGAGGCTTAGCTTCCTCCACTTTAAAAATGAAGGTCTCAAAATAGAACATCTCTGGAATCCTATACAAATCTAAAATTAAAACCCTGTCAATTTATTCTATATTCTAAAACATTATTTTAGCTGGAGCAGTGGCTTATGCCTATAATCCCAACACATTGGGAGGTTGAGGCAGGAGGATTGCTTGAGCCCAGGAATTTGAGGCTGCAGTGGGCTATGGCAATGATGGCTTCACTACATTGCAAACTGAGTGAAAGAGTGAGACCTTGTCTCAAAAAATAATAATAATAATAAGTGGATTAAAATAAAACATTCTTTGTAACAATTGTCCTAACATAGATAGCAATAATAGATCAACTTTTGCTATACAATAAAAAGGGAAAATCAACATTCTTTTTTAGTCACTTCGCAATTTGCTTTACTTAAAAAGGAGTGAGCATTTCAAAAATTAAACCATTTTAAAAAAGAGTAAAGGCCTGAAATAAACTTGTAAAATAATATATTATACTCTTGCCAGTGCAGGTTTCTCCCCTCAGTGTCTATGGATGTTCATACAGCTTCACAGTGTGTCTTTTATCATTATACTCTTGCCCAAAGCCCAACTAATCTGAGCGAAATTGTATTTCTCCAAAAGACAAATCCTGCTTCCTTATTCTTCCATTAACCCAATCCACTTGTTTATCACCTTGAAATTCCTCCACATTCTTAGATACAGTAAAGAACAAGAGGAGTGAGACTGCCTTACTATTTCTGTTTATGGGCTTAGTTCCTCCTCTTCCTTTCAAGCTTACCAGATACATGCCTTAAGCACTGTGAAAAAGCCACCTTTTCACAGCCGACACCAAGCTGGGAAGAAAAATGTCAAATGCAGCTACCAGAATTTATGTTATTGGGAGGGAAGCAGAGAACAGAAAAACTTACAAGGCACACCTTACAGTACTACTTCTCAACCTATTTCCCAATGGAACATGGATAATAGATGACATTCATACCCAGAACATGCTTTTATAAGTGTGTATGTGCATTCTCCACTCTATCCCTTTCTTTTCCTCCCAATAAAGCGTATCAGAATGCAAATAAAATTAATTATTTTAGAGAAAACCTTGAATTGACATGTTTTTCAAAGAAAAAATCATTTGCAAATGTTGATGCTTGATCAATAAATCACTTGGGATATGACCTTAACTCTCACAACTCTGAGGTTTACTATTGCCCTAGAGTACTGTCAGAAAAAGTTTCAAATGGTTTTTCTGCTAACACCCGTAAGCCTTTGAAACCTTTCAATGTTGCCACAAGAGAAGCAAACCTTAATGACTCTGTCAGTGCCAAGCAGCATCTGACATAAGCCCTGGAAAAAGAGATATTTGCCTGCCAAGATATCCATGTACCCTGTACATGTGTCAAATATCTTTGTCCTTTAAACCGAGCAAGGTTTATGTGCATTCCTAATCCTGACTTCAGACCTCTAGGGTATGATATAATTCTATACAACACGCTAATTTTGGAAACAATTCCATTTTTAAAAAAAAAGAATAGTGAAGTTTCAAAATAAGTTCTCAAAATGCATGGTAAAACTGATAAAAATTAATTTTTTTCCAAGATAAAAAATTAAATTGGCTTTTTCTTCCACATTTCAAGAAATAATGAATACTCAAACATACCATTTTCCACTTAGTTCTTCTCACCATAACTTCGGAAATGAAAAGAACTGGAGCATTCAATTAAACCTAATAGAAAAACAGAAGAAAAATTGATACAGTTAATTATAGGTTGAAAGATTTATTTACTTGTGATGCGCTTTATCCTTTATCCTTTATCCTTTCTAGTTTTCTTGGCTTTTGCCTTATCTGTAAAAAAATGTCCTGCTCATATATTTATTAAACCTAAAAAGCCTGTCCTCATTTGCAGAATATAATAGACAATTATCTCATTGCAAGTGGAGCTACCACAGCTCAAATTAAAACCTAATATTCCTAAGGTGTTATTCTCCAGATCCATCCTTAGCTGAAACTGAGCTCACTGGGATTTATGTGAACTTGAAAATTAATAAATTGACATGTTAGTTGTAAAATACAAGAAATAATTTCCTGTCTTTTCCAGATGATCTATTTGGATTAGTGCCTATAAAAGTTCAACTACAGCTGTCTTCACTGAATTTTTAAATAATGAAACCATACCCTTTCTCTCAAGGAGTTTATTAAAGTCTCTTTTGATTAATGCTGTTGCTCTAAGGGTCTCTTGGGAAGGGATCTCTTGGAAAGTCAGATGTATAATCAATATTACAAGCACATACCCCCATATTACATGAAGAACTCCAGCTGCTAGGTCACTTAATACAAATGTATCATCGAAATTCATGAACACGGTAATGCTGTTCAACATTTTTAATCTATCAGAAACAAACGTATCAATCAACCTGTCCACTACATATCCCAAGATTACAGTGAAGGAGTTAGCCATGGCCTAATTAATATCATCACAAGTAACAGAAAAAAAAAGAGGTTTCCCTCTAAGTCTTTGATTCCACTAGATATAATGCTAGTACAGTCTCAGAAATAAGTTTCTAAACTTTTATTAAATTACCCCAGTGTAATAGATGGGAGTGAGAGTGGCAGAAAACATACTGTGATTTAGAGATCAGAAGAGTTTTAGAGATGCCTGAATGTGACATGACTGAGAAGGAGCTGTGCAGCTATGGTTCAAAATTACCAAGGAGTCAGTGAAACAGGAATCAAAGGAGTTAATAGTGAGCCTGTGGCAGGGTTAAGTGGGTGATGACGGGGGTCTAGATGGTTTCTGGCAAGATCTAGAAATAGCCCAAATGGGGAGCCCAACACAAACATTCTTGAGAGAAGTTAGATGTGGAGTGGCAAGGGGAAAGAGAGAAATAGAAAAGGAAAAAGCATCAGGTAAGTGTAACATAGACATAGGCACAGAAGCAGAACAGTGTAGTGCTCAGGGCCTGACTACCTGTATTCAAATCCTCCCTCCACATTTAAGCAGCTGTGGGATCTTGAGTAAGTAGCTTAACCTCTCTTCTGCTTGATTTCTTCATCTGAAAAATGCTAGTAGTAGTAATATGGTTGTTGGGAAGACTAAGACATGGAAAGAATTAAGAACAGGGTTTGGAACACAGCAGAGCCTCAATAAATGGCAATTATTAGTATTTCGAGTTATCCCCACATCTATTTTGCCTCTTTTTTGTTTACTTCTAATCTTATTCTATCCATTCCTCTGTCAGTTATTTGGAAGCAACCAGGCAACAAAAGAGGGAACTATCTATGTTTTCTGTAAAACTTATTCTGTGACTTAAAATGGACCCTAGGAGATGAAGAATGAGCCAGCCTCTTTCTTTATGCCAATTTAAAAACAGAGGAAAGAGCATTTGAGACCCAAGTTCTAGCTTTTTCACAGCTGAAAGTAGAGTCTGGATAAATTAACCTCTGTACGTTTTACTTTTCTAATCTGCAAAATGAGAGCATGGATTTAAAACAGGTCCATTACTCCAAAGCACATAGGAGTGAGGTAAGAAATAAAAACAATAAAGTACTCCTTGTGTGAGACAATTGTGAGTGGGAGGAACTCTGGCATATGTAGAAGCACATGCCCAGACTGAGGGAGTCCACCACTAACCCTCATCGGCCAACACTCAAGAATTCAGGCTTCATACTGTCTCCTTTTATCCCCCAAAAGAAGCCAGAAATTCTTATTTTCAAATGTTGGCTTAAATTAATCTAACACATGATGTAGACAAACAAAATATGACTAAAGACCCACTGCCCCTGCATTTGTGACTTTGGAGCCAAGTGACTTCTAGAGTCCTTTCCATTTGCAACTTTCCATCATTCAGTTACAATGGGATGCCCAAAGCGAATGGCCAGTTTCAATGCAAGCCAGATGTTCTGTGATCCAGTTAGCTACTTGTGTCTGCAGACCAATTTTTGACCCAGTTGAAAATGTTCACTTGGGTATAAATAGTACATACTAAAATTTCTGGGAAAATCTGACAGAGGTCACTATTTTTACATGCTGAAATGTCTAATTCAGGTCAACATAGATCAACTTCTGATACCATTCAGGGATGTTCAATCTTTGGCTTCCCTGGGCCACACTGGAAGAAGAAGAATTGTTTTGGACCACACATAAAATACACTAATACTAACGATAGCTGATTAGCTAAAAAAAAAAAAAAAAATTACAAAAAAAATCTCGTAACGCTTTAAGAAGTTCACAAATTTTGGGGGGGGCACATTCAAAGCTGTCCTGGGCCAAGGCTGGACACACTTGATTAGATTAAGAGGGTGAAAAAAAATTAAAATGATTCTTCAGTTCTTGTTTGATTGATTCACTGTCATTCAGTTATATGAAATTATAACATGCAGCTCCCCAAAATGCAAATGTGAAATGTAGGTGTGGTATGACCCTGATTTAAAATCCTTAGAGCTTTTAAATAAAAGTTAAGGTGCTTGTTTGAGAGGCAGGTTCCTGAACATTTTTATTTACTTTAACATTTTTTTAAACTTTCTATTTGAGAAATACTTAAACTTGTACAGTACTACTGAAAGTTGATAGAGAAATAATTCCTTTCTTTGGAGATAAAGAGATATGGAAAGGTTGCTACCCCACCACATGTTTTGTGCTTCTGAAATTATTTATCCCCCTGCAATCTTCTTTGACAAAGATGTAATTGCTTCAGCAATATAAAAGCTGAAAGAAGGCATTTGGCACACAAATCTCTGTAATGCATTTATTCTGAAGAGAAGTAAAACTGCTACGGAATAGCAAACGATATTCAAAGTGTGGTTTCCTTTCAAATAAACTGTATCCTAAATCCCAGAGATCAAGTTGTACACACCTCAGAAACATCAACATTCTTTCATTTACTTGCAAAATCAAGAATTTTAACTCCCACTAAATAGCATGGGGAAAATGTCCATTGCAAGTCTGGTAATCAGAATTCTAGAATAAGATAGAAGATTTTTCCAGAATGCATGTTTTAAATTGGACAGATGCACAAATAATAGGGAGTTGGAAAGTGAGATGAGGGAAACCACGGAGCAAAAGAAAATAATAAAAAATATTCAAAAGGTGACAGAATGAGAAATTTCAACTTATACCATGGCAGGAATTAATGTCAGCTTCTGTGTAAAAATTAATGTGAATTTGCCAAAGCACTTTGAGATGACACAATTATAGCAAGTGTTTTTAACAAAGGTTTGGCCAAAAGAAAATCATTGCTTGGTGCAAAGGTGGACCAACCAAGTCTTTTGCAGGCTCCTTTTGCAGTAACAGGGTAGATATTTTTGACTGATATATTTCAATTAATAATATATAAAAGCGTTCCAGACACATGTATGACTAGCTTCTTTCAGAAAAGGAAAGACCTCAGAAAATGATTATGTCTTCAATGTTCGCCTCTTAACATTTTTATTTAGAACTCAATCTTTGCTATATGGTTCCATAAATTGAAAAAAAAAATTCATAGATGAAGCTCAACTCTAATCAGTGATAAAGGGTTAGTACCAAAATCTGTACCATTTTTATGGGGTAGAATTTTAATAGACTTTGTACAGAACTGTTTGAACTAATGTATGGCCTTTATTCTGCCATTTCATTTAACTTGTGTTTGTGACACAGTATTTATGATTCAGCCATGTCAACACTAGAAATATTTTGTTCCTCACATCAAGTGCAGCCTCGAATAAAGTACACCTTTTGATGGATGCCAGTCAGAAATTGTGTATTTCAAAAAAAAAAAATAGTGTGAAAGGTCACTGAATGTAGAAACAAATGAAAAGGTGGTTTTGAGCCACGGCACTGAACCCTTCGGGGACTTTTCTTTCCCACCTGCACCTGTCTTAAAAGTCAATGCATGCCTTTTAAATATCATGATTCATAACATATTCCTTATATAATCATGAAAATGTAGTCTTGTGGTTGGAACAACAAAAAGTATCTAATGAAATTTAGATACACAGAATAAAAATTTAGATGCACAGAATAAAAAATAAAATAATAATAATATGGTATTTTGTGAATGAACATTTTTAACGCCAAGCACAGTACTAAATATTTTATATATACATTCTAATTAAAGCCAACCTTTAAATCTATGAGATAAATACTCTCATTATAGTCATGTTATAGATGAGGGAACTAGGGCTTAGAAAGAGATAAAACAACTTACCCAAAGGTAAATAAATAGCTAAATAAATGTTTTAAGGCCAAAAGCAACAGCAGTGCAACAACAAAAAAAAGCAAACACTGACTCCATAGTCCATTTTTATAGGAATTATGCTAGACTGGCAGAAAATTTAAGTTCCCCAGAAATGTCTTAGCTAATCCAAGGATTAATGTCTTTGCCTGTCTTGCTAGATTTGTCATTTGTCATTGGTAAGGTATTGATGAGATTTGACCCAAGTATAGAAATCCAAAAGGATCACCTTTATATTTTGTTGTGTTTTTTATAACTACCACAGCACTTCATTTCAAAAATAAGGTAAGAGGAATTTAACACCTGACAGACTCAGGCGCAATACTTTGATGGACATAAACTTTTTATAATTGTGGTTTATTTTCCTTCATACAGAACCCAGTGCTGCTCCCACAGATGTCAAGGCGACAAGTGTGTCTGTGTCAGAGATTCTTGTTGCATGGAAACACATTAAAGAGAGTCTAGGAAGACCACAGGGATTTGAGGTATGAACAGAATGATTGAAAATAAGCCTTATTGTTTCTTCTGACATCACATTCTCCTAAAGAGAGGTTTTGGTGACACCTCAGAATTTCAACAGAATTTCTTAGAAATTTTGCTCTATGTTAAAGAAACTAAGAAATACTATTTTACTGGGATGTGTTATGTTGCTCATTAACTGGTTTATTTTTCAGTACAGTAGCTTCCGTAGCACTATGCAAAGATGTTTTTAAAAGATGAAATAGAGTTTTAGACAAAAGCAGGAGCTACAGGTAGATATTTAATTGTATCCAATTTACTGGTCATTTTAAAAGTTTTTGTGTCTTCCTTTCTAATAATTTAATGTATAAATACAAGTTTTCCTTTTGTACTTTATTGGTATCTCTTACCCTCAGTGCTGAATTATCAAATTTTGCTTGGAATTTAATGATCTGTATTGTATCTATGTATTCAGATAGTTTTTTTGGTCCCTTAAATGTTGCTATTTTTAAACATAGTTATTCCAGCCTTATAATGGTGAACATTTCATATCAAATGAATAACATCAATGAAATTTTAGCCTCCGCAGAGAATAGCAGATTGTGAGTAGTCTGTGAACATGAATATTTTATGATAACAAGGTTTGGCTTCTCACACAGCTCTTGTTCTTGTTCTTGCCTTGCTTGGCCAGTCATGGAGAGGAATTAGGGGGATAATGTCTAAAAGAAAAAAAGAATTAGCATCTGACCCAAGACTTTAGTTGCATTTAAAAAAATTTATTCTTACTTTTCCTCTGCTTCAGTTCCCATTAAGAGAAAATCATCTTGTGTCTTGAACAATGATCAAGTATAGGACTTGTATACTAACATGGTTTCCAGGCTGAAACATATTTTTAATTCTATTTGAGTTTTCAAATAATGCCCAACAATTATTTGATTAACATACAGCTGGCATTAAATAATGATTTCTATGATAAAAAAATTTATACAATCTTTCTAAGAGTTACAGCAAGAACAATTTATGGGAAACCATTACCTACTTATACAATATCATGGACTTATTTCTACAATCTTGCTTCAATTAATTATTTGGAATGATAATTTAGTATCTCATTATGATTGCATGTTTAATGTGATGAATATTTCTGTTTCTCCCAATCCATGCTTCAGGGACCATGTTTGTTCATCATTAAATCTCAGCAAATGATAATATATATATTTGGCCCATAACTGACCACAATAAATATGTTGAATGAATAAATGTTTGTGTGGCACAATTAGCCCCTTTCTATCCAACCGTAGAAGACACTGTGGTGGTTTGTCCAGTTTCCCTTCTCTATGGAGGAGGGACACGTGCCTCCTCCAACTGCTGTGAGTGTTGACTGCTAATGGTTCTCAGCTCCCACTATAGATAATTGCCCTCCACTGAGGAGAGCTACATTGCTTGGAAAGTGACCTCGCCACACTTAGTCAGCCTAAGATCAATGACTGACTGATACTTGTCTCTTACCTCAAGGAGGAAAGAACTTTATGGTGTAGTTTATGATACAGAGCCTTGCTGCGTGCATCAGGCCAAAGCCAGATTTCCTGGAACCACATTCTTGCTCAGCTCCCCATTCTGAGTTCCTCCCTTTTTAAACCTGTAAGCATCCTCACAGTAAATAATATGCACCAAAATCCCTATCTCAAGCTCTGCTTTTGGGGACTTCAACTGAAAAGAACTACATTAGTGTGAATTCACTCTAAACCTCTGAATCGGAACATCTGGGGCAGACGTCTGGTGTGCATACCTTTCAGAAAGCCACAAAGTATATTCTGGTGCACGGAAGAGTGACAACCCAGGCTCCTATATCTCAAAGGGATGTTCCCCTTATATAGCCAGTCACCCTCAAGCTTTTTTTATACCTGCCCTAATAGCATGACACTCAGATAACCATTATGATTCACCGTGTTGACATCTCTCTGTGAGGTCCTGCAAAGATCACATGTGCACAATTCTTCTCTTCCTAAATATAAATCATTCATTCTTTAATTCAATAAATATTTATGTAGACCTATTAAGTACCAGACAATGAGCTAAATGCCAGGAACAAACCAATGAGCAAAACAAAGTCCCTGCTCTTCTGAAGCTTGTATTGTAGTAGGGAAGGCACACAATCAACAAGCTAAGAAATAAGCGCATGATTTTTTAAAAAAAATATGAGATACAATTTCAGTTGATGATACAGACTATGTAGAAAAAATAGGGCAAGAAGGTAAAGAGAGAGAGTCTGATATTTTATAGAGGTTTGAGAAATCAACCTTTCTGTGGTTGCGACATGTGAGTAGAGACATGATGTAATGAGAGACGGCAGAGAGAACGGCAAGCCCAGGAGCTCTGAAGTACTAGCGTGCTGGACTTCTTCAAAGAATAGGAAGTGAATGATTTTGGTGAGAGTAGGGAGCACAGGGAGAGTGGGAGCAGGATGATGATGAAGAGATTAGCAGGACAAGGAACAGGTTTCTGGGGCCTTAGGAACCATAGAAAGAAGTTCAGATTTCATCCAAAGTATAAGAAGTCATAAAGTATTTCAAACTGGGAGGGACAAGTCAAGATCTGACATATTTAAAGCCTCTCTCAATCTGGAAGGTAGATAATAGACCCTGGGGAGGGCCTCAGACAGAAGAGCAGAGGGGCAGCTGTTCCAACCTCAGTGACAATGAGGTTGCTTTCAACTAGAGTGGTAGCAGTGGAGTTGATAAGAAGTGGACCTTTTAAAATATATTTTGAATTGAGGTGAGACAGAATTTGACAATAAATTACATGTAGGCTATGAAAAAGATGAGACAAAGATAATTGCAGAGATATTTGACCCAAGAAACTAGGTAAATGGCATTGTCATTCACAGAGATGAGGAACTCACAAAGAAGAGTGGGTTTTAGAGTGAAAATCAAGGATTCTGTTTCGGGTGTTTTAAATTTTAGGAACTTTTTTTATTTCTAAAAAGAGTTCTCAAGCAGGTCTTAAGTTAAGAGGAAGACTGGGGATGGAACTATAACTATGGGAAATCATAAGGTTATAAATAGTTTGTATGCATATACCAGCTAAGATCACTGAATATTTGGTAAAGAAGGTGCCTGAGAATTGAGCTCTGGGGTGGCCCACAATTTGGAACTCAATAAAGGAGAGGAGAGGGTCTGGCTGAAGAAACTAAGGAGGAGACACTGAAGAAATTCAGAAGCCAAGAGAAGAATTTCAAAATGGAGAGAATGTTCCATGCTGTCAAATGCTGCTGGGGAATTCAGAAAGATGAGACCTGAGATTGCCAGATGGATTCAGCAATGTGGAGACCATAAGTAACCTTGATGAGAGAGATTTTATGGAATGCTGATAATGAAGGCTTAACTGGAGGTTAAGATCAAGATTACTCAAGAGTGACAGTCAAGACCATCAGAGCACAATGTTTTCACTAGATCAGCTTCATTCAAAATAACTTATTGCAAGCAAAAATGGAATATATTTGAAAACAGAAAGTTAACAAGGATGAATCAAATTCTGAAATAATCATCACAATGACATTTTTGAATTAAAATAAATCAACGAAAATTCTGACAATGACTTTATACAAACAAACCGGGACAGAATTCATGGACATAGTAACTATTCTATTTCATAGCGCATTATAAATTGTAGTTTCAAAATATGGCATCTTGTTACCAGAAAATAAAAATCAACATCTCATTAATTGTGAAATTCTTTACTTTTTATAAACAGAACATAATGAAAACTTTGGCTAAACATGACATTAACTGTTATTTTAAGTATATTCAGTGAAGACTATTTTTGATTTATACTGTTTCATAACTGAATAGCTGCATGTAGATTTAACACTAAATATGATATAGGTGAAGCTATCAGGATCTCTCTTTTCCTCTCTTTTCTGTATTCTTTTTCCCTCGAAAGAGAGTTCTGCCTCTGTCCTTCACCAAACACATCTGGAACTTACTGCTCTCCTCTTCTCCCCACTTATTTTTCTCTATCAAAAATGTCACTTAGTAAAAGATTTCCCTAATTATTACTAAAATATAATGAACCCATAAAGCTTAACAATTTTGTTTACTTTTATCCCTCTTTTTCACTCTATCCCTACCACAATTCTACCTATATTTACTGATGGTCGAATTCAGAGCATGGTGACAATAAAACAAATATTGAAACAAGGGCATTTGTCATCAAAACCAAAATGATCAATTTCACATTTTATGTACTTATAATATCAGTCCTATGAGTCACTTTTCTAGCCATAATTTTAACTTCACATGCAAAATCTAAAACAGCAAGCTACTACAAAAGCATTAACTATGAACCACTTTGAAACTAGAGAAGACAGTGTTTTCAGCTGCCCCTCTTATTTTTCCTGAATCAGAACATCAATAAGATAGATAAGGTTCTGATCTTATGAATGTTACATCCTAATGGGGGAAAACATTTTTTTTAAAAATCAAGGAAACACATAAGTAATAAGATAAACTCTGATAACAATACACATAGAGGGTCAAAGGTATAGCAAACCTGGTTCCTGTGAGAACAGAAAGAAAGTGAAGCACTGGGAAATTAAAATAGTTTGAGGGTTGGGTAGAGACAAGATATGTATAGATATATGGGTTATGAAAAAAAGTTTGTCTTTTATTTGAAGTGCAGTAGAAAGCCATTGAGACAATTTAAGGAGGGAAGTCACAATGTCCGATTTATGTTTTTCTTTTTTTTAATCACTCTGGCTGCTCTTATATGAAGAATGAAAGGGAGAGGAAAGAAAGGTCAGAGAATTGAAGTTAAGAGTTATCACAATAATCCAAGCAAGAAATGATGGTGACCTAGACTTCAGCCAAAGCAGTGGAGTGGGAGAGAAGCAGATGTATTTTAGAGGCAGGGCTGGCAGGATTTGCTGATTGATCTGATGTGGAGGAAAGAGAAATGATGATTCCTGCATATCTGGCTTGGACACATAGGTAAATTGTGCCATTTACAAAAAAAAAAAAAAATGAAGGAAACTGAACAAAGAACAGATTTGAAGCTAGGAAATCAAGAGTTCTATTTAATCACATTGAATTTTTGATGCCTATTAGAGGCATCTAAGAGGGTAAGTCAGATAGGCAGTAGAACATGCCAGTTTGGAGTCAAATTGAGAGAACAGGGCTGAAAACATAGAGATGGCCATTATAGAAGTGGTATTTAAATCCATGCTACCATAGGAAAGCATCTGAGGACAAAATTTCAAGAGAAGAGGAGAGAACAAGAGCAGAGGGGAATGAGGAGGGTCCTGCTGTGTCCTGGCACACTCAGCATTTAGAAGTTGAGCTGAAGAGGAAGAATCAGCAAGGAGGCTGGCAAGAATAAATCAGTTTTGTAGCAGGAATACCACGTATGAATAAAAAAAGTTAAAGGAGTTGACCAAAAAGAGGGAACTGGTCAACTATGCTTAATGCTGCCAAGAGATCAAGTGAGATAAAGAGGGAAAAGTGCCTGTTTGGTTTACAGGTTATTGGTGATAACTTCCACAATCAAATAAATAATCAATATCCCTTATGTTGTCAATTAGTAACTTCAAGTTGTAGACATTTAGTAACCTTAATAATGCCACTGCTTCTAAAGAATGGTTGGTGGAAATAGTTTGAGGGCAAGGGAACGTCATTTCAGAGCTCTCAGCCCATCAGCACCTTACTTGATGTGGAATTTCCTGTATTTTGTCAGGACACCAACAGGTTTTGGTATTCATTCTTGTGTTGAGAATCACAGCTCTCCAGTGTTGGTATCAGAAATGGTTAAGAGCAAAATTCAACATCTGAATATATTTTTGCACCACATATTATAATGTGAGTATAATTAGCCACTGCAGAAAACTCTTTTAGCCTCAAAAAGAGTGAAAAGAAGTCAAATTGAGACTTTAACATGGTGTTTCCCTTGATGTACCAGGTATTATAGAGCAGGTAAATTAGAAACAAGATATCATTTCTGAAGTCATGTACACAGATTTATTTCCTTCTAGAATATGTTTTCTGTCAAGTCCATACCCATGTTCCACTTTGAAATTGATGACTGTATCCCTGGAATACATAGCGTGGTGTTAACTAGTAACACCTCAATGCATTTTCCTTAATAAATAATCAAACTGGAACCTATTTGTGATTCACTTGTCTCTGAAATCTTTGTATTTTCTTCTCTACTAATTGAGGGAAGCTACACTTGAGCAAGAGTCATTTGGAGAGAAGACGGCATCATTAAGGGCAGTAAAGGCCTTAAATCTCTAACAGCCTTACCTGATCTCCCTCCTGCAAGTTGCTATCATTAGGCTCTCCCTTCCCACTTCTGACTGCAGGTTCTCCTGATTTGGCTGCAGCCTGACTCTGATTCTGACCCTAAGTTGGCAGTCAAATTTCATCTCACATTTCCCTGACCTGGCTTTCTGTATGTTTCATTTGAATCTCATTTATTATTTATTTAACTAGTATTTATTAAATACCTGCTATGTTTTGATGCAATATTCAGGCTGAAACAATAAATACAACTGAGTTCCTGACCTTATGAAGTTTGCAGTCTAGCAAGGGAGACTATTTCTGCTTTCTTGAATTTTTGTATTTTGCTTCAATCCTCAACTAGGGTCTTGATCCTAACTTCTGGTAGCTCCTTTTGCTGATAACTTGGTTTTGATAATCTTTTCCCTGATGCAGTCCTGCAGAACAGCAGTAAGGATCTCAGTCAGAGGCTTCCCCTGGTAGCATTTGTCAGTAATCTACTTACACTTGGCATTTTGGCCTTTCGCAAGGAAGCTTCCATTACATCTTAATTGGTTTAAGAAATAATAAACCAAGCATTTTGACTTAAACTTTTCATTTTTAACTAACCCAACACTTTCAAGTACATGAAACAATTCAAATCAAATAGTGATTGATTTTTGTTATTAAATTGATGAATTGCTTTATCTAATAGAATGGTCATGGCAATTAAGATGCTAAGAATAGTTTTGCAAAAGACAAGGTCAGAATGATGACAGCCAGACAAAGTGATCAATGGTAAGGGGCTTGAGGACAATTTAGCAATTTTATCCCTTTCTGTTTCTGAGTGGATCCATCTTTAGACATTTTAAAAGGTAACAATTAGGCTACATGAGAACTCTACTGTACAAAGAAAAATGGTGGTCTTTTCCTTTCAACCAGCTGCCTCCTGAAAGAATGGCAGTACCTCACAAAAATGACCATCTGAAGAAATAAGAAAAAAAAATATGAAATTCCAAATGTAGACATTAATCCATCTATTTGTATCTTTCAAATATTTGAGAAATTTTGTCAACATCCGCTTAGAACCACCCATTTGTAAATTTTGGTTACCTACATGGCATTAGCTTGAAATTTTATGGTAGCAGGGACTAAATGTAGAAAGCACTGACACTGAGATATGTGAAATGTCTAGCTTATGATATGCAGCATGATTGAAAATTGAAAGTGGGCTGTATTTACTGAACAACTTTGATTCATGAATAACCATGACTGTCCCATCTGGATTGCCATCTCTGTCACTAGCCCATACAAGTAAATTATTAGGTTCAGTTTTGAATTTATGAACCCACCAGCATTAAGTGTCCTGTGTATGGTAATCTCTGAATCCTAGAGCAGAGTCCCTCAAGCTTTTCAGAACATAAAAGGATTTTTATGTGCATACAAATTCAGAGAAGATGCCAGTCTGGCAAGAAGGGAGGGTAAAGGATAAGGCCAAATTTCATAATCATTTCTGTGATTTTCCCAGATCAGCAAAACAGACAAAGTAAATTGTGATAATGGAATGTTGGATGATTCATTTTTTTCACTCCTTCACTCATCAAGCATTTATTCAGTATCGGGCACTATGCTGGGCAATGGGAATGTACATATAAATAAGATCTAGTCCTTACCCTCAAAAAGCTCACAGTCTAATATTGAGGGAGGTTTATGGGAAGTTGAAGTAAACAAAAAAGAAATACGTTGGAACAATATAATTCTCGTGTCTATAATTACCCCAGGATTTCTTAGCATCCTGATCCTCTGAAGAAACAGTGTGAATAAATCTGTGCCAATGCCTTACATGGGTGTAAGCTTCTCTGTTTTCATGAGAATATGCTTCTGTCCTGAAATTTTCCTTTATTTTCTAAATAAGTCAACAATAAAATAGTTATATTAACTGAATAAAATAAAAATGAAACTTTTTTCACTAGAGGTAATTTTTAAAACATTCATATTTCATATTCTGCCTGTGGAACAAAGTCTTCCATGATTGCCAAGTTTATGGTGCTTGTATTCATTCATCCCTTCTTGTAAGATAATTATTAACTGTATTTTTATCTTTTTAATAGCTGGACTCATTTTAACAATAAGCAACAATGTATTTTGTAGCAGGAGTTTAAGTGCACACTGTCCTGGTTTCAGTTCTGAACATTTTAGTGCTTATTATCAAGAAAAAACAAAAGACAAAACAGCTTGTCCCATTTTACAATACTCACTAAAAGGCACCTCTAGCAACTTCTTTGTTTGGGCTACGTGCAAGGTTCACATGTGTTCATTTTAAACCTTCCAGAGGATATGCAACTCAGAAGTTCATTTTAGACATGTCACTAAAGCCATTTCCACTTATTGATTGCACTGAAAGGACAGCAATTGTGTTTTGCTCTATAAAAGATGTCGTGGTGGGGATTCCTTCAGGGGAGAAGCGACAAGGCTGTTGTTCTTTATTTTATGATCTGACTCTAATCATTAGAGAAGGAGACAAAATAAATGGGCCTCCCTGTTCTCTGACAATAACTCATGCTGGGCAGATTGTATTTACTTTGTATGGGGGGGAGGAAATGTATATGTGTGAAGATGGACTTTAAGATACAAGTAAAAGGGGAAAAAGAAGCTAAAATGAAGCTAGTTACCAGAAAGCTAACAAAGGTTGTTTTATTTTCCATATGCTGTGTGGGTAGCCGCCATTTTACAGAGCCTCTTTGGCTTTTTATTAATACTACATTAAAGTAAGAATATAAGAAACTAAACAATAAGAAAAAATAAAATGCCAATTTTATCCTTTCTTTTCTGAAATTCTGAGGACTCTCATTTAAATCAAAGAGCTTTTATGTCACTATCATTAGATTTCTTTCTTGGCTTATTTTCATAGACTCTGAGGCCAACTAAAAATTACGTTTTCTGAAAATCATCAAATCAAAAGCAAATTGAAGTAATATTTCAATTGTTTAACCTGTTCTTTTCTTGTCCTATTGAAACACAACTCTATAATTTTTATCAAAAATAGTTACTCACTTTACTGTGTTTTTGTTTCATTTGATTCTAGATGCATGGCTTCATGGTTGAAATTCTGTAACTAAAACAACTTTAAAATTTTCTTTTCTACTGAAATTTTGACACAAACCATTTTAAGACTCTTAGGATATTTTCCTGAACATATTGTTGAAACACAAATGGAACCAAAAAAGTATTGATGATATGTTTTATCATATTTAGAAGTATTTCTCGGCTGGGCGCGATGGCTGAAGCCTGTAATCCCAACACTTTGGGAGGCCCAGATGGGCGGATCATGAGGTCAGGAGATCGAGAGCATCCTGGCTAACACAGTGAAACCCCGTCTCTACTAAAAATACAAAAAATTAGCCGGGCGCGGTGGTGGGCGCCTGTAGTCCCAGCTACTCGGTAGGCTGAGGCAGGAGAATGGCGTGAACCCGGGAGGCCGAACTTGCAGTGAGCCGAGATCGCGCCACTGCACTCCAGCCTGGGCAATAGAGCGAGACTCTGTCTCAGAAAAAAAAAAAAAAAAAAAAAAGTCTCATTTTTTTCACTCTTCAACATGAATGTGAATTTATTGCACCACCTCTAAACAGGGGTTTCTCATCCCTAAACCCAGCCATCCATGAGTTCATCAAATGTCCATCCTCAGTTTCACTGTATTATATAATGCACATTTGCACAAGCAGAGCATCCACGCAAAAATATGAAATCACAAATGTAGAGAGCAATTTATTTATAATTGACATTGTCAATTACTAATTGACTAATTGCCAATTAGTAAAGTGCTGAGACATTATTTTCCAAAGGGCAAAGCTTTTTAACAAATCTGCACACAGAAAAGTGCAAAAATTATTTTATTTTACAAATATTTGAACATTTTTGGTGAAATTTTCTGAGAACAGCCCATTTAAAAATTTCTAAATTGTGAAAAAATCTTCTTCCTCTTGAGGGCTGGGTTTATACCTTAAGCACCTGACAATGTACTTGTGATAGAGGAGTACTAAATCTATGAGTGTTGCACAGATACATACAGACATGGGCTTGCTTAATAAACTAGGAAATGAAGAAATTGTATAAAGTGTTTAAACACAAAAAGAAAAAGGTTTACAAAATCTATATTTAGCATTGTAAGAATTCTAATTGCTAATTGACTAAATGCCAATTACTAAATAGCCGAGACTTTATTTTCCAAAGGGCAAGGCTTTTTTCTTTAAATCTGCATACAGACAAGTGTACAAATCATAAACATATAGTAATAGCTGAATGAATTACTATGAAGTAAATACACTTGTCTAACCATAATCCAGTCCATGAAGCAGAACATTACTAAACCCCAGAGACCCAGTTTGGGTCTCCTATAGTCATTATCCTTATTCTTACCCCCAAAAAAACACTATCCTGACTTCTGTTTTCTTTTTCTTTTCTTTTTTTTTTTTTTTTTGAGATGGAGTCTCGCTCTATTGCCCAGGCTGGAGTGCCATGGCGCAATCTCAGCTCACTGCAACCTCCGCCTCCTGGGCTCAAGCAATTCTCCTGCCTCAGCCTCCCAAGTAGCTGGGATTACAGGCACGCACCACTGTGCCCAGGTGATTTTTGTATTTTTAGTAGGGATCGGGTTTCACCATGTTGCCCAGGCTGGTCTTGAACTCCTGACCTCAGGTGATCCACCTGCCTCAGCCTCTGAAAGTGCTGGGATTACAGGCATGAGCCACTGTGCCCAGCTGACTTCCCTTTTTTCTGACAGATGAAATTATATGGATTTATCATGTACATGCTTTGAAGTATATATACATCATACAATGACTAAATCTAGCTAATTAGCATATGCATTATTGCACATAGTTATCATTTTTAGGTGAGAAAATCCACTCTCAGCATTTTTAGAGAATGCAATATATTAATTAGAGTCACAATGTTGAGCTTATTGATCTTACCTGAAATTTTGTATTCTTTGACCAACTGCTCCCTAGTCCCAGCCCTCCCAATCATTCTCACCCTGATAAACACCATTTTGCTCTCCACTTTTATGAGATCAACTTTCTTAGAGTCCACATATGGGTAAGACCATGTGGTATTTGTCTTTCTGTGCCTGGCTTATTTCACTTAACATAATGGTCTCCAGATTCATTTATGTTGTTGCAAATGGCAGGATTTCTTTCTTTTTTATAGTTGAATGGTGAATAGAATTTCGCTGTGTCTATATAACACATTTTCTTTATCTGTTCATCTGTTGATGGACAAGATATGATTCCATATGTTGGCTATCGTGAATAGTGTTGCAATGAACATGAGAGTGCAGATGTCTTTTTGACATACTGATTTCATTTTATTCGAATATATACCAAGTAGTGAGATTGCCAGATTATATAGTAGTTCCATTTTTAATTTTGGGGGGAGCCTCCATACTGTTTTCAATAATGGTGGTACCAATTTACATTCCTATCAATGGAGTGCAAGGGTTCCCTTTTCTCTATTTGTTATCTTTTGACTTTTTGATAAAAGTTATTCTAATGTGTATGCAGTGATATCTCATTGTGGTTTTCCTTTTCATTTCCCTGATGATTAGTGAGATTGAGCATTTTTCCATATACCTGTTGGCCATTTGTATCTCTACTTTTAAGAAATGTCCATTCAAGTCCTTTGCCCATTTTTTAATCGGTTAATTTGTTTTCTTGCTATTGAGTTGAGTTGCATATATATTTTGAATGTTAATCCCTTATCAAATGTAGAGTTTGCAGATATTTTTGCCCATTCTGTAGGATTTTTTTTCACTCTGTTGATTGTGGCTTTTGCTGTGCAAAAACTTTGTAGTTTGATGTAATCCCATTTGGTTTTTTTGTTTGTTTGTTTTTGCTTTTGTTGCCTGTGGTTTTTTTTGGGTCATATCCAAAAACTCATTGCCCAGACCAAGGTCATAGAGCTTTTCTCTACATTTTCTTCTAGTAGTTTTACAGTTTTATATCTTATGTTTACATCTTTCATACAGTTTGCATTGATTTTTTTACATGGTGGAAGCTGAAGGTCTAATTTCAGTCTTCTGCATGTGGATATCCAGTTTTTGCAGAACCATTTATTAAAGAGACTATCCTTTCCCCATTGTGTGTTCTTGGCACCTTTGTCAAAAATCAATTGATCATAAATATGTGGATTAATTTCCCGGTGTTTTATTCTGTTTCATTGATCTATGTATCTGTTTTTATACCAATAGCATGCTGTTTTTGTTACTATAGCTTTGCAGTAAATTTTGAAGTCGGGTAGTTTGATACCTCCAATTTTATTCTTTTTGCTCAAGATTGCTTTGGCTATTTGGGGACTTTTGTAGTTCTCTATGAATTTTATGATTGTGTTTTCTATTTCTGTAAAAAATGTCATTAGAATTTTGATAGTACAATGACTCTATAGGTCCTTTTAGATACTATGGACATTTTAACATTAATTTTTCCAGTCCATGAACATAGGATTTTTTTCCATTTATTTATGTCTTCTTTGATTTTTTTAATCAATGTTTTATAGTGTTTAATTTAGAAATCCTTCACCTTCTTGCTTAACTTATTCCTAAGTATTTTTTTTTTTTTTTGGTAGCTATTTTAAATAGGATTGGTTTCCTGATTTCTTTTTCAGGTAGTTCACTACTGGTGTATAAAAACACTACTAAATTTTGTATGTTGATTTTTTTATCTTGTAATTTTCATGAATTTGCTTATCATTCCTAAGAGTTTTTTGGCAAAGTCATCAGGGTTTCCTATATGTTAGATTATGTCACCTGCAAACAGGGACAATTAACTTCATCCTTTTCAATTCTAAAGCTTTTTCTTTCCCTTGTGTATTTGCTCTGGCTAGGACTTCCAGTACTATATTGAAGAGAAGTGGCAAGAGTATGCATCCTTGTCTTTTTCCAGACCTTAAAGGAAAAGCCTTCGGCTTTTCCCTGTTTAGAATGATGTTAGTTGTGTGTTTGTTATTTACGGCCTTTATTGTGTTGAGGTACTTTTCTTCTATACCTAATTTGTTGAGAATTTTTACCATGAAAAAATGTTGAATTTGTCAAATGCTTTTTTGCATTTACTGAAATGATCATATGGTTTTTGTCTTTCATTCCAGTGAGATGATGTATTACATTTATTGATTTGCAAATATTAAACCATCCTTACATCCCCACACTTGATAATAATGAATGATTATTTAAATGTGCTGTTGAATTTGCCTTGCTAGTATTTTCTTGAGGGTTTTTGCATGTATATTAATCAGGGATATTGGCATATAGATATTTTTGTGTGTGTGTGTCCTTGCCTGGCTTTGGTATCAGGGTGATGCTGTGCTTGTAAAATGAGTCCGACAGTATTCCCTTCTCTTTCACTATCCTGACTTCTAACAACACTAGTTGGTTTTTACCAGTTTTTGAAATCATCTGGAGCTTTTTATGTCTTGTTATTTTTCACTCAACACTATGTTGGTAAGAGTCACCCATATTGTTACATGCAACTGTAGGTAATGCCGTCTTTTTTTTTTTTTAGACGGAGTCTCGCTCTGTCGCCCAGGCTGGAGTGCAGTGGCGCGATCTCAGCTCACTGCAAGCTCCGCCTCCTGGGTTCACGCCATTTTCCTGCCTCAGCCTCCCGAATAGCTGGGACTACAGGCGCCCGCCACTACGCCCGGCTAATTTTTTGTATTTTTAGTAGAGACATGGTTTCACCATGTTAGCCAGGATGGTCTCGATCTCCTGACCTCATGATCCGGCCGTCTTGGCCTCCCAAAGTGCTGGGATTACAGGCATGAGCCACTGCGCCCGGCCTCGTAATGCTGTCTTCTAAACTACATCGTAAGAGTACCCCACAAGTAATTTATCATTCTACCATTGACATACATTAAGGTTGTTTCCAGTTGGGTCTGTTATGAATAACACTATATAAAGCAATTTCAGGAGAATTATCTATTTTACCATATTGAGTCTCCTAATTCATAATCATGGTATATTCCACTTTTTTTTAAGCCTTCTTTGAGCTTTGTCAGTATACAGGTCTTGATAGTCTTTTCTTAGATTTTTCTCTGTTTTACTATTTGGTGCCATTTTAACTTATCCTGTATTTAATTTAGATTTAACTTTGTGTTATGAAAATTTTTAAAAATATCTGATATATAATATACAGAAGAGTATAGTGAATTTCTATAAACTTAGCACTTACCTTAATCTATTATGAATCAATGAATAATCTGTTTTGTGTATAATGCCACTTAGTCAATCTCCTATATTATTTTGAAGCAACTGTCAGCCATTATATTGTTTCACAGAACATATCTCATTAAAAATCTCTAAAGTATATGCTTTTTAAAAATTGCCACCTCTCTGCTTCCTGAGAACATGCAGGTTAGAAAATGTCCTCAGTGTAAAAAGCTGCGAACTAAAAAAGCATACCTAATGTAACTCTGTCTTCAATGTTTCTCTTGGTCTCTGCCTACATTACTAGGTTCTCCAATGTTTATCTCTGAGCAAGCATAGTTTATCATTCAGCCAAGGATTTAACAGGCTTTATACTCAGATTGTGGCTCTTATCCTTTCTCGCTTCTTGAATTTCTATTTTGTGTTTTCAACGGCTCTTTCTGATTAACTTCCTTTGCTACTCCAACTGATCAAGCTGCAATCTTTTGCCACCATTGCCAGAGGGATTGAAGAACATTCACAAACAAAATAAGCCACAAACTCACAATTCTTACTGTTGCAGTTTCAGACTTTCAAGAGTAAACTCTCCTCTAGCTTCTGTCTGCTTTTGGATGCTTGCCATGATTTTAAAATTCTCATTTGGGTCGGGGTTTGTATAATCATTTCACTCATCCACATTTCCATCATTTTCTTAATATCTGTAAGATCTGTGGGATATTTTCTTTCTGTCAGTATTTATATGTCCTCCTCCCCCCCCCTTCTTTTCATCACTCTTGATTAAAAGAGATTTACAAAATATGTGATCTTTTCAAAGCATTAACTTTGTCTTTATTCATTTTCTTAATGTTTCTTTTTCCAATTCATTTTGTTGTTCCTGTCATTTTTATATCCTTCTTTCTACTTTATTTAGGTTTAAAATTTATTGCTCTATTTTGAACATCTTAAGATGGATATTCACTGACTTTTGGCTTTTATTTTTTTCCAGTATATATATTAAGGCTATACATCTCCAAAATTCTCTCTTCCCAGCATCTCATACAGACTATGTCATATAATATCATTAACTAGTTAGTAAATTTTAAAGATTAATATTCTTCTACCTGAAAGTATTTCAGATCAAAACTTTTGTTCTTTCATTAAATTAAGATATATTAAACAATATTGTAATATGTCAACCTAAAAGGAAGAAGCTTAGGAAAACGAATATAGATAAAGTGTTCATTTGGGCCAAGTTTGAGGACTGCAACCCAGGAGTATAGATTCAAGTTGCCCTGAATATACACTCTGATTAGTAGCAGTAACAAATAGATTTTTAAAGGCAAAGAAAGGGCAGCGGTGGGAAGGGAGTGGGCTGATACAAAGTCCTTTCTCAGGAATTCTCATTTATTTACAGAAATAGCATTGATTAGTGAATGGCTATACATTGTGAAGCTATAGGGTTATAGTGTCTGATGTGGCATTATTAATTAGTAGCTACTTGTAGCAATAGCAAGCAGTTTCAAAAGATAAATACATTGCTCAAAGGGGAAGTGGGGCATGGTTGCAGTCTCATTTTAATGTTTCTCTGGCTATAATAATCAAAAGGACTTGCGTTCCTCAAATAAAATTTCTTTTCTCAATTTACAGGTCATCTCACAAAACATATTCAAGTACATCAGTTATAATTAAATGCTCTTAGAATTTTTTCTATTCAATATTCTCTCTTTCAAAATGTTTCAATAAAGAATATGAAGAAGGCAACTAATATTTGTAAAAGACATACACTGAACTACATGTGTTAGGAAAATATTTAATTATATTTATAGCTAATCTTCAGTATATTTTCTTTATGCAGCAATAACAGCTTCTAGGAAAAATAAATACAAATTTATTCAGTAACTAATATCCATTATTATGTTTCTTCTGCATTTTAAACTTTCTCACCTCATATCATCTAATCACTGTTGAACTGCCTCATAAATATTCAAAAGTTTAACTAAGCATCATTTATTTATTTTATGTAACTCATTAAATTGCATCCTTTATGGTAAAATTACCTCTGGGCACAAAGTAACTAATATGCATGCAATTTAATAATACTGACTGCCAGCATATCTCAAAGTATTGATTGTGAATAGCCAATTTAATAACTATATCTAGTACTAAATTCAAGAGTTTGGGAAACTGGAGATGAACTAAATTGACGCAAGCAGGGACTTTGCCAATCAAAACAAATTCAACTTTCATGGAAAATGTGCTCCCCACATATAGGATTTTGAAACTCTTAGTAGAAGGACATGCCTGATCTTAGATGCTGTATAAGACAGGAAGAATGTAAAAAGCAATCTAACCACTAACAGGAAAAAGGTCATGATATTCCAAAATATATCTGAAGGTAAGGAATTAGTAGTGAAACTATGCTATCAGTGAAATATCTGTCCTCTAACCCTCAATTTAAATTAGTTGCAACTTTTGTGTTAGAAATGACAGTAAATTGAACGAAAGCATGTAAAACCAACTTTCCTTAATTCCCCCTTAAAGCACCCATGAAACCATCAGAAAAGACAGTCCTCACTGCAATCACAGTGAGTGGTATAAAACAAAGTTATCAGAGTGTTTTCTAGGTTTTTCTTTCCTTTCATCTTTGTGCAGTGACCCAGCCTCAAAATCCCATTTTCTAGGTTCAAGCAAGCAATGAAATAGCCTCTGGCCCTTTATCTTTTCTTCAACAAAACAACTTCACTCATACATATGAAGCTGTGGTTTTCAGCCCAAACCTGGTTAGATTTCTTTGGGTTGTTTGAAAATACGAGTAGAGGCTTATACCAACAACCAATAATCTGGCATCTCCCTGCACAGCATAGACTACTGGTCTGGGAGATAAAGTCTAGAAATGGATGTCTCACCATTCAAATAATCCTTAAACTCATTTTTAGAACAGTTGAAGATCAGTCAGATAAGACACAAAGGTGATGAGACTGAAGGAAAATCTTTGAAAGAGAAAAACATATAGAAGAAAAACCTTAGAAAGAAGGAAATGAATGATTAGCTTTAGTATGAATTCCTTTTCCTAGAAAAGATTTTCTTGTAAATCAGAAGAAAAATTTTAAATATATAGTTCTAACCTCAATGAGATAAACGAGAATAGTTCTTTTATATTTAAAGAACAATTCAGAATAGGAAGAGAATACAATAAAATCAAAATCAAAGTGACTAAAATATTCATTGGAAGCAATAAGATGTAAACTTGATAGTATTAACTATTTAAACCAATGCTTCAGAGTACAAACTTGAGAAATAATTGTAGAATGCAAAGTAAATCAATAAGAAAATTTTATTTTTAAGATGTGAGAGAAAATGGTAGACGTGAAAGACAGAATAGATTTGGCTCATACATAATAGGTATCTGCGAAGAAGATAGAATATATGGAACAAAAGGAATAACAGAAAAAAAGTGAACAAAACTCCAAAAACAAAGCAACAAGGAAAAAATTCTGACATTTAAGATAGAGAAATTCCAATGTTTCAAGAAATATTAAAATCTTAACAGCCCCATCTTTGTCACTCCCATAATTAATCCATCACCAAAGACTATTGATTTTATCTTCTAAATATTTATTCATCCATACACATCCCTATATCTTCCACCATGCCCCTAGTTTAAGCTACGCTCATTTCTGACCAAGACTCCAGCAACATCTCCTAAAAGCTCTTGATGTATCCACACTAACCCGTTTCCAATCTGCCCTTTATATTTCAACTGTTTATTCAGTAAGACAAATTATTGAGTGCCTCCATCTGCTACCATAAAGCAATCATGAATAAATTAGGATAATTTCACATGTGATAGTTGTAATAATAATTATATTAAAAATTAAAATGATGTGAGAGAGAGTGACTAAGGGAGGGGTGGTTTCTTTAAAGAAGTGGCCAAGGAGGCTTCTTGGTTAAGCTGAAACCTATCTGAAAAGAAGGAGATAGCCATTTGGAGAACTGTGAAAAGAGCTTTCAGTCACTGGGCACCAAAAGCTCAAAAACTCTAAATTGAGAATGTGATTGAACGTTTGAGGCCCATTTTGCTAGAAGGCAGTGGACAAAGTGAGATGCAGAAGTATAGAGACTATATCAGGTAGAGCCTTGAAGCCATGGTGAGAAGTTTGGAATTTATTCTAAGTGCAAAAGGAAGCCTTTTTAACAAAAGGAAGTTTTTAACAAAAGAAGGATCTAATTTATGTAGTTTAAAACAAAAACTAACTTGATACCGCTGTGTGTATCTTTTCAAAACACAAACCTAATTGTGCCACAGGCACACTCCCAGCCTCATCCTGCTTAAAAGCATTCCATGTGTTACACTTGCACATAGGACATTTTTGGTTTTTACTAATCCTAGCTCCTTAACATGGCCAACTACAAGATCTGGCTCCATCTATGACTCCAGCATCAAGTGCACCACACACGGATCACCCTCCACATCTGCCTAACTGTACTTTCTTCAGCCCCACATCCCCCTCTTTCCAGACTGCACACAGGATGCCTCTGCCTTCCCTCTCCCTTTGCCTGCTGAACTCCCAATCATCTCTCAGCCTTCAATGTAACTGTCTCTGCCTTAGTGAAGACTTCCCTGACCAGCCCCTGCCCACGGAGTCCTATCCCTCAAGTTAGATCTGTATCAATATATAGCTTCCCATAAACCTCTGATCAAAACCCGAGTTTTACATTTGTGGGTGTGATCATTTATTCAACAGATCGTGCCCTAAGTAGACTGTAACTCCAAGAGGGCAGGGACTTCATCTATTTTGACTCACCATTGATTCTCAGTTGGCCCTAGGCACAGTGTTTGGTAAATAACACTGAGTCAAAAAATACCTTCGAATGGATAGTTGAATTAACAAGTTTTTAGAACTCAAGACCTGGTAAAATATCAAATTTCAATATGCATTTTCATTAAAAATAAAACTGATTAATAGAAAGACAAAATTTGATTATTAATAAAACCAATTAGTAGAAAGACAAAATTACTCTCAAAGATGCAAAAATCAAAAAGATTTTTCTTCTACATTTAATAAAAGCAGAAAATAGAGTGGTGTCTACTAAATGCAGGGAGTACAACATTGAGTTAGCAGTGATCACTGAGTACAATTAAAGGTATAGAAGTAACAGAATACAAGTGCTAAGAGTTGTATTTTTAAAACCTAACAAGCAGGCCAGGCATGATAGCTCACACCTGCAATCCCAACACTTTGGGAGGCCAAGGCAGTAGGACCGTTTAAGGCCAGGAGTCCTAGACCAGCCTAGGCAACATAGCGAGACCATGTCGCTACCAAAAAAAAAAATTAAAAATTAGCTGGGTGTGTTGGCGCACACCTGTAGTCCTACCTACTAGGGAGGCTGAGGTGGGAGGATCACTCTAGCCTAGGAGATCCAGGCTGCAGTAAGCTCAGATCATGCCACTGCACTCCAGCCTAGGACTAATACAGGACAAATAAAATGAGACCGTGTCTCAAATGAGACCGTCCCTTCTTGCAATCCTATGAAGAACTACCTGAGACTGGGTAATTGATAAAGAAAAAAGGTTTAATTGACTTACAGTTCAACAAGCTGTACAGGAAGTCCGGCTGAGGAGGCCTCAGCAAACTTACAATAATGGCAGGAAGGCAAAGGAGAAGCAGGCACATCTTACATAGCCAGAGAAGAAGGAAGAGACAGGTGGGAGGTGCCACAGACTTTTAAGCAACCACATCTCCCGAGAACTTATTCACTATCAAAAGAACAGCAAGGGGGAAATCTGTCCCCATGATCTGATCAACTCCTACTAAGCCTCACCTCCAAATTGGGGATTACAATTTGACATGATATTTGGATGGGGACATAAATCCAAACCATATCAGACCTTGCAAAAAAGAAAAAAAAGAAAAAGAAAAACCTGAAGATGGCAGATAGGTGGCAGAACTAGCTTGCAGCTCCTGCTCAGATGGACAGAGCAGCATGTGAAAACTCACATGGTGAACTTGTGCTCCAAGAACTACCAAAGGAACATACCAGGAAAGCCAAGAGAATCCACAGTCCCTTTGAAGGAACTGGATCACCACTGAAAGCTCCTTGAGATGCTAAAAAACTGAGTCGGCTTGGTTTTTCAACGAGGAGGCATGCAGTCTGGGATAAGTTCTCAGTCTTGATCACTGGCTGCCCGGAAATAAACTCAGTGCTATTGGAGGGGGGCGTGGTGGGAGTGAGACCAGCCTTTAGGACTGCAGGCTGTGTAAGAGCAGGTTGAGGCTTGTTACTGCTGGGTTTTCCCTACTTCCCTGGTGACCTGTATGACTCAGCAGAGGCAGCTCTAATCCCCTTGGGAATATAACTCCACTGGACTGGGAACCACACCCCCATTCTCCACAGCAGCCACAGCAAGCCCCACTCAAAGAGAGGCTGAGCTCAGAAATGGCTATCCCTGCCCCTACCTGGTAGTCTTTTTCTATCCACCCTGGTAGCCAAAGACAAAGGTCTTAATTTCTTGAAAACTCTAAGGCCCCAGCCACTGCCTGAGAAACCTGAATACTTAAACAGCTGTGCTTAGGGCAAGTTTGCATCCTCCCTATAGGACTGCAGCTGGTGTGCTCTTGAAAGTGCCACCACTTGGCTGGAGGCCAACTAACCCAAAAACTGCACACTAAACAAAAGCACAACCAAGGACCTTCACAGTGTCCACTTCACTCCCCAACTAACACCACTGGAGCAGGTGCTGATATCCAGGCTGCAAGACCTGAAGATGACTCACATCACAGGACTCTTTGCAGACAGCCTCCAATGCCAGCCAGAATACCAGTAGCCCTGCTGGGTGGCTGGACCCAGAAGAGCAAAAACAATAACTATGGTTCAGTTCTCAGGAACCCTTATTGCTAGGGAAAGGGAGAGAACACCACATCAAGGGAGCACCCCATAGGACAAAAGAACCTGAATAGCAACGCTTTAATCCCAGATCTTCCCTCTAACATAGTCTACCCAAATGAGAAAGACCCGGAAAAAACAATTCTGGTAATATGACAAAACAAGGTTCTTTAACACCCCCAAAAGATCATACCAGCTCACCAGCAATGGATCCAAACCAAGATGAAATCTCTGCATTGCCACAAAAAGAATTCAGAAGGTCAATTACTAAGACAATCAAGGAGGCACCAGAGAAAGGTGAAGGCCAACTTAAAGTATTCAAAAACATGATACAGAATGTGAAGGAGAAATTCTTCAGTGAAATACACAGCACAAATTTAAAAAAATCACAACTTCTGGAAATCAAAGACACACTTAGAAAAATGCAAAATGCACTGGAAAATCTCAGCAATAGAATCAAAAAGCAGAGGAAAGAACTCTGGAGCTCAAAGACAAGGCTTTTGAATTAACTCAATCCATCAAAGACAAACAGAAAGGAATTTTTAAAAAGAACAAAGCCTTCAAGAAGTTTGGGACTATGTTAAATGGATAAACCTAAGAATACTTGATGTTCCTGAAGAAGAAGAGAAATCTAAAAGTTTTGAAAACATACTTGAGGGAATAATCAAAGATAACTTCCCAAGCATTCCTAGAACTCTAGACATCCAAATATAAGAAACTCAAAGAACACCTGGGAAATTCATCACAAAAAGATCATCACCTAGGCACATAGTCATCATGTTATCTAAAGTCAAGACGAAGGAAATTTTAAGAGCTGTGAGGCAAAAGCATCAGGTAACCTATGAAGGAAAACCTATCAGAGCAACAGCAAATTTATCAGCAGAAACCTTACAAGCTAGAAGGAATTGGAGTCTTATTTTTAGCCTCCTTAAACAAAACAATTATCCCCCAAGAATTTCATATCCAGTGAAACTAAGCTTCATAAACAAAGGAAAGATACAGTCTCTTCCAGACAAACAAATGCTGAGAGAATTCACCACTACCAAGCCAGCGCTACAAGAACTGCTAAAAGGAGCTCTAAATCTTGAAACAAATTTTCAAAACACACCAAAATAGAACCTCCTCAAAGCATAAATCTCACAGGACCTGTAAAACAATAACACAATGGAAACAAAAAACAAGGTATTCAGGCAACAAATAGCATGATGAATAGAACAGTACCTCATATCTCAATAATAACATTGAATGTAAATGGCCTAAATGCTCCACCTAAAATATACAGAATGGCAGAATAGATAAAAATTCACCAACTAAGTTTCTGCTGTCCTCAGGAGACTTGCCTAACACATGAGGACTCATATAAACTTAAGGTAAAAAGGTGGAAAAAGATATTCAATGCAAATGGATATCAAAAGTGAGCAGGAGTAGATATTCTTATATCAGACAAAACAAACTTTAAAGCAACAGCAGTTTAAAAAGACAAAGAGGGATATTATATAATGATAAAAGGACTAGTCCAACAGGAAAATATCACAATTCTAAATATATATGCACCTAACATTGGAGCTCCCAAGTTTATAAAACAATTAATACTAGACCTAAGGAATGAGATACATGACAACACAATAACAGTGGGATACTTTAATACTCCACTGACAGTGCTAGATAGGTCATCAAGACAGAAAGTCAACAAAGAAACAATGGACTTAAACTAAAACCTAGAACAAATGGACCTAACAGATATCTACAGAGCATTCTACCCAACAACTCCAGAATGTACATTCTGTTCATCAGCACACAGAACATCCTCCAAGATAGACTATATGATAGGCCACAAAACAAGTCTCAGTAAATTTAAGAAAATCAAAATTATGTCAATTAGTCTCTCAGACCACAGTGGAATAAAATTGGAGATGAGTTCAAAAAGGAATCCTCAAAACCATGCAAATACATGGAAATCAAAAAACCTGCTCCTGAATGATTGCTGGCTCAACAACGAAATCAAGATGGAAATTTAAAAATTCTTTGAACTAAATGATAGTAGTGACACAACCTATCAAAACCTCTGAGATACAGAAAAAACTAAGAGATAAGAAGAAAGTTCATAGTATTAAATGACTAGATTAAAAAGTCTGAAAGAGCACAAATAGACAATCTTAGGTCACACTTCAGAGAACTGAAGAAACAAAAACAATCCAAACCCACATCCAGCAGAAGAAAAGAAATAACAAAGAGGAGAACTAAATAAAATTGAAACAAAAAAAGAAAAATACAAAAGATAAATGAAACAAAATGCTGGTTCTTTGAAAATATAAGTAAAATCGATAGACCATTAGCATGATTAAACAAGAAAAGAAGAGAGAAGATCCAAATAAGTTCAATTAGAAACAAAACAGGAGATATTACAACTGATACCACAGAAATACAAAAGACCATTCAAGGCTATGATGAACACCTTTACATGCATAAACTAGAAAATCTAGAGGAGAGGGATAAATTCCTGGAAATATGCAACCCTCCTAGAGTAAACCAAGAAATATAGAACGTCTGAACAGACCAATAATGAGCAGCGAGATTAAAATGGTTATTTAAAAATTGCCAACAAAAAAAAAGTCGAGGATCACATGGATTCACAGCTGAATTCTATCAGACATTTAAAGAAGAATTGGTACCAATTCTACTGACACTACTCAAAAAGACAGAGAAAGAGGGAATCCTCCCTAAATCCTTCAATGAAGCCAGTATCATCCTAATACCAAAACCAGGAAATGACATAACAAAAATAGAAAACTACAGATCAATATCCCTGATCATCATAGATGCAAAAATCCTTATGTCAAAAAGATAATACACCATGATCAACTGGGTTTCATACCAGGGATACAGGGATAGTTTAACACGTAAGTCAGTAAATGTGATACACCACATAAGCAGAATTAAAAATCACATGATCATCTCAATAGACACAGAAAAAGCATTTGACAAAATCCAGCATCTCTTTATGATTAAAATCCTCAACAAAATTGGCATACAAGGGACATACTTTAAGGTAATAAAACCTGTCTATGACAAACCCACAGCCAATATTATAAATGGGGAAAACTCGAAACCATTTCCCCTGAGAACTGGAACAAGGCAAGGATGCCCACTCTCACCACTTCTATTCAGCATAGTACTGGAAGTCCTACCCAGAGCAATCAGACAACAGAAAGAAATAAAGGGCATCCAAATTGGTAAGGAGGAAGTCAAACTGTCACTGTTTGCTGATGATATGATTGTATACATGAAGACAAAAAAGCTCCTAGAACGGATAAATGAATTCATCATAGTTTCAGGTTACAAAATTAATATGCAAAAGTCAGTAGCTCTGCTATATGCCAACAGCAGCCAAGCTGAGAATCAAATCAAGAGCTCAATGCCTTTTACAATAGCTGAAAAAAATAAAAATAAAATACTTAGGAATATACCTAACCATCGATGTGGAAGACCTCTACAACAAAACACTGCTGAAAGAAATCATAGACAACACAAATTGAAACACATCATGCTCATGGATGGGTAGAATCAATATTGTCAAAATGACCATACTGCCAAAAGCAATCTAGCAATTCAATGCAATTTCCATCAAAATACCACCATCATTCTTCACTGAATTAGAAAAAAAAAAAAAAAAAAAAAAAACACCTAAAATCCACATGGAACCGAAAAAGAGCCCATGTAGCCAAAGCAAGACTAAGCAACAAGAACAAATCTGGAGGCATCACATTTGCCTGACTTCAAACTATTCTATAAGGCCATCATCACCAAAACAGCATGGTACTGATATAAAAATAGGCACATAGCCCATTGGAACAGAATAGAGAACCCAGAAATAAAGCCAAATACTTACAGCCAACTGATCTTTGACAAATCAAACAAAAACATAAAGTGGGAAAGGACACCCATTTCAACAAATGGTGCTGGGATAATTGGCTAGCCACATGTTGAAAATGAAACTGGATCCTCATCTCTCACCTTATACAAAAATCAACTCAAGATGGATCAAAGACTTAAATCTAAGACCTGAAACCATAAAGATTCTAGACTATCACCTCAGAAAAACCCTTCTAGACATCAGCTTAGGCAAATACTTCATGACCAAGAAACCAAAAGCAAATGCAACAAAAACAAAGATAAATAGATGGGACTTAATTAAACTAAAAAGCTTCTGCACAGCGATAGAAATAATCAGCAGAGTTAACAGACAACCCACAGAGTGGGAGAGAATCTTCACAGTCTATACATCCAACAAAGGACTAATATCAGAATCTACAGAGAACTCAAGTCAGCAAGAAGAAAATAAACGATCCCATCAAAAAGTGGGCAAAGAACATGAATAAACAATTCTCAAAAGAAGATATGCAAACTGCCAACAAACATATGGAAAAATGCTCAACATCACTAATGATCAGGGAAATACAAATCAAAACCACAAAGAGATACCACCTCACTCCTGCAACAATGACCATAATGAAAAAATCAAAAAATAATAGATGTTGGCGTGGATGTGGTGAAAAAGTTACACTTTTACACTGTTGGTGGGAATGTAAACTAGTACAACCACTATGGAAAACAGTGTGGAGATTCCTTAAAGGACTAAAAGTAGATCTACCATTTGATCCAGCTATCCCACTACTAGGTATCTACCCAGAGGAAAAGAAGTCGTTATACGAAAAAGATACTTGCACACACGTTTATAGCAGCACAATTTGAGATTGCAAAAATATGGAACGAGCCCAAATGTTCATCAATCAATGAGTGGATAAAGAAAATGTGGTATATACACCATGGAATCCTGCTCAGCCATATTAAAAAAAAGAATGAAATAATGGCTTCACAGCAACCTGGGTGGAAATGGAGACTATTATTCTAAGTGAAGTAACTCAGGAATGGAAAACCAAAAATTGTATGTTCTCACTCATATACGAACTAAGCTATGAAGATGCAAAGTTATAAGAATGACATGTTAGACTTTGGGGATTCAGGAGGAATGGTAATGGGTGGCAAGGGATAAAAGTTCTCGCATTGGGTGCAGTATACACTGCTTGGGTGATAGGTGCACCAAAATCTCAGAAATCACCACTAAAGAACCTATCTATATAATCAAACAGCACTGGTTCCCCAAAAACCTGTTGAAATAAAAAAAATGGAAAACTAAAAATTAGACAATTTTTTTTTAAAACTTGATAAGTAAAAAAAAAAAAAAAAGGTTGATAAGATGATGTGTTGTTGTACATTCATCCATTATAGCAAATGTACTATTCTGGTGAAGGATTTTGATAACATGGGAGGCTGCGCATGTGTAGTGGGCAGGGAGATTCAGGAGATCTCTGTACCTTCCTTTCAATTTTGCTGTGACTCTAAAATGGCTCCAAAAAAAATTTTAACAAGTGTGAAAAATTGGACAAGCAAAGACAAAATATTAGGAAGAACTACTCAATGGTTTTATATGACTGAATGAAAATGTAAAAGTAGGGGAAAGTTCACAACTCACCCAGTAATCAACAGCTGCATATGGCAGAACTCATGAGTTTTAGATTTTATAACTTCATGTAAGGAAACTGCATTGTGCATGACATGAATATCATAGAATCGTCACACCAGAAAATCAAATACACTACCTGCACAGTTAAAATAATCATTATCTTGGAGAATCAGCTTTGGGAAAAATAGAGTGTCTACTAAGAAGAACCATCCTTGGTCAGGCACGGTGGCTCACGCCTGTCCAGCACTTTGGGAAGCCGAGGCAGGTGGATCACTTGAGGTCAGGAGTTTAAGACCAGCCCGGCCAACATGGTGAAACCTCGTCTCTATTAAAAATACAAAAATTAGCCAGGCGTGGTGGTAGGCACCTGTAATCCCAGCTACTTGGGAGGCTGAAGCAGGAGAATCGCTTGAACCCAGGAGCTGGAGGTTGCAGTGAGCTGAGATTATGCAATTACACTCCAGCCTGGGCAATAGCGTGAGACTCCATCTCAAAAAAAAAAAGCCATTCTCTTTATTTAGGTTTGTCTCTATACTCTCCTACAGGTATTATATGAGTCAGAATTCATACTTCCTGTCTGCCACTAATATTATGTACATTATAATTTTAAATAAAAATAATATTTGAGAGACAAAAATCAGAAAACCAAAATAATATGAAGGATTAAAAAACATATACTTACAAATAATAAAAATCAGAAATATTAAAATATCAAGAAACAATGGCTCAAGCAGTTGAACAGCAGGGGAGCTCTCTAAAAATCATTCACAAACCTAAGAGAAGTACTATTTTCTCTGTTATATAAATAAAGATGCAGAGATTCACTGGTGAACTAACTTGTCCCATTATATGTGGCTTAAAATACCAAAAGTAAAATTCACATATAGACCTTCTGGCTTTACAACTTTGGAACCCATAATCTTCTTTCTGGGGTCTATTCTGGGAAATTAATCTAATATGTGGAAAACAGGGTATATGAAGATTTCCATGGCAGCATTTTAATTAAAGGAGCAATATGAATATTTGCACGGCAGCATTTTAATTAAAAGAGCAATAATTAGAAGCTATCCAAATGTTTTACAGTAGGACCATGGTTAAATAATATGTGGTACATAGGCATATGATACAATGTTATTTTTAAAATAAGAAAATATTTCTATATAAGAGAATGAAAGCAGGACATAAAAAGTATAATTATTTTAAATACATAAAATAGGAAGTGATACACAAAGAAAATAATTGTATGAAGATATTAAAATGATAAGCTGTCTGTGCTCTAATTTTAATTATTGATATCTTTTTAATGACTTTAATTTGGTTTCAAGTGATTTTACATAGAGAGTTCAAAGTTCATGAGCTGTTGAAATCTACATCTGAGGAAACAAACTAAATAAAGAGAAGTTTCAACCTTAGAAAGTGCATGTGACTTGTGAATATTGTGTAACCTCAATTCCAGCTTAAGAATCACTAAAGGAGAGAAAAGTAGCTAGAGCGGTACGGCAGCCTCCGGATTCTGAGGTGTTCTGCGACTTCCCCAGACCCTAACCTTCCCGGCCTCTTCCCCAGAGAATCACAATCTAGATGTGGAACAGTGGATTTGAAAGCTATAGCAGCAACTCATAGGGCAGCCGGTGAATACATGCAGTCCCCGGTAGGCTTTGGATCGCGGGCACCTTCTTAGGCAGAAAAGAAATCAAGAGCCAGAGCACAGCACATTGAACCCACACACATCTCAGCTGCTTTCTGCCACTTTGATTGATGAAGTGTTCAAAATTGGCAATGCTGAGATTTCACAAATCACTCTTGTAGGGATCATCAGACATGCAGAGAAGACTTCAACCAACATTGTTTACAAAATAGATGACATGACAGCTGCACCCATGAATGTTCACCAGTGGGTTGACACAGATGACACCAGCAGTGAAAACACTGTAGTTCCTCCAGAAACATATGTGAAAGTGGCAGGCCACCTGAGATCTTTTCAGAACAAAAAGAGCCTGGTAGCCTTTATAAATCATGCTCCTGGAGGATATGAATGAGTTCACCATACATATTCTGGAAGTGATCGATGCACACATGATCACAAAGCGAACAGCCAGCCCTCAGCAGAGAGAGCACCTATCAGCAATCCAGGGAAGAGTGAAGCAGCCTCCCTGTGGCCCAAAATCAGGTGTTGAATGTGATTAAGTCTTACCCAAGACCTGAGGGACTGAACTTTCAGGATCTCAAGAACCAGCTCAAACGCATGTCTGTATCCCCAGTCAAGCAAGCTGTGGATTTTCTGAGCAATGAGGGGCACGTCTATTCTACTGTGGAGGATGATCATTTTAAATCCACAGATGCAGAATAACGGGAACTAATTGGGTACCTGAGATTTTTTACAGCTGGACCTAGCTTCACAATCTGTTTTCTCCAGCTGTGCATATGTTTAGCCAGGTGGCTTCTAGAAGTCAGTTTCATCTATAAAAGGTCTCCACCGACATCCTTTTGAAACTTACTGCTCTTCTGTTTTGTTTGAAGCTCAGAGGGAGATGGGCAATTGACAGGGATACAATCCCAGGTGGAATTGCTTGAGGAAGTTACAAATAAGCTTGTTTCATACTAACATAATGCAAATAACTCTTTTATAAATGAAAACATGCTCATGCTCTCCACAACAGGGAGAACCAAAGAAAGTCCCATAAGTCAATTTGTCCCAGTCATCGTGAAACCTTGCCCCTTCTCTAGGGAACTACATCAGAAAGTTACCTACCAATAACACGCTCCATATAAAATATCAGAAGAAATGAAGAGGCTAAAGTAATTTAACATTTATAAAAACATACAAAAGACGAGGAAGAAAATGTGGCTAATTACTGTGGTCCTCACTTCATAAAGGTGTAGTTGCAATTTGTAACTTCCTTCTTCCTCCTTCCATTTCTTGTTCCTTTTGCTTTCAGCCAGCACTGAGGTTGGTTAAGGTTCTTAATATGTCGTGGTAGTTAAAATGTTCATTCTTGAGATCAGAGCCTATAATGGCTTCCTATGGTCACCACTGGAAGAGGCAATCCTAGACATGTTCCAGAATGTCTCCAAATTCCAATTAAACTTCTCACTGGCCACAGAGTATAGCAGCACCCTTAGCACCCTTAGCTGAAAGAGAATCTGGAAAATATGTTTTTGGCTTTCTAGACTCCACAGTACACAAAACATGAAGGAGGATGAAATGGGTGCAGTAATCTACTATTTCCACCACAGTAATTAAGTTGGGGGAAAAAAAAAGAATTACTCTCTTATGACCTTCGCCGCAGTAATGCAGGATTTTTCTCGGCCCCTTCATCAGACTTGTGACAGGAGTGACCCCATTTACTCGGCCTGCCGCATTCAAGCCTTTGTGGGAGGGAGCACATGAACAAGCTCCATGTGGGGCCCACAGCCAGAACAGGCACATGTGGATAAATGTAAGATCCTGCCAGCCAGTTCAGCTGCTGGCAGGAAAAATCTCCATGTGGGACCCATGGCAGTGCCCAGGTGGTGCTAGGTGCCTGTGACCCCTAAGCCCCAGAGGGAATGTTAACAGTGCTCTCTTAGCTCTGCTGTCCCCGGACAGCTGTGTGTTAGCAGCTCAGCTGACAGAAGCAAGCTCTGTGTGGGGCCTGCACTGGTTCCCAGGTGAGAGTGTCTGTAACCCTGGAACCCCAGAGGGAGTGTTACAGTGCTGTCTTACCTCCACTGTCCATGGATGGCTGTGTGTTAGCAGCTCAACTGACAGGAGCAAGCTCTGTGCAGGGCCTGCGGCAGTGCCCAGGTCAGGGTGCCTGTGACCCTGAAACCCCAGAGGATGGGTTACAGCATTCTCTTAGTTCTGCCATCCATGGACAGCTGTGTGTTAGCAGCTCAGTTGACCCCTTGCCTCATCACATGGGGCAACTACCCTCCACTGGCAAGGGCAAAGGGCTGGTGTGACAGACTATCTGGGTACCTGCACTCGGTGGGTCCCGAGCTCTTGTCTGGTGTCCAAGAAGAATGAGGTCATATGGATGAACTGAATGATGGGGAAGGTGGAAAATTTTACTGAGCAATGAAAATGGCTCTCAGTGGAGAAGGGAGCTGGAAAGGGGATGGGAAGGGCAGGTTGCCTTCCCTAAAGTTAGGCTATCTCTCCTCTGAAGTGCAGCCCTCTCTCATCGCTTCTGACTGATAGTGGGATGTTTCTCTGCACAGGACGGTGGGGGTGGGCCATAGGTAGTTTTGAAAAAGGCAAGATTCAATTGGTAAAAAGGCATTATTCAGAAAGAACAAATAAGGAGAGAATGGGCAAAAAAGGAATAGAAGTGCTCACTTCAGGCCATGGGTTTCAGGCTTCTCAGCTTGAAGGTGCAGTTTCACTGGGGACCCATTTCTGTCTGCCTAGAATTTCTCTGCCTCCTTCCTCTATCAACAGTAAGGAAGTAGATGGGAGAAAGCTACTCTTTGTTGCACTGATATGTAGTTAAGTTCTAGTGCCTAAACAGAGTAAATCTTTAGCTTAATTGTGGGACAGTCATTGATCTCACAAAGGGATGGAGTTTGCTGAAGCCAGTTACCATAAGCTCCTAACGAGGAAAGATGATCTCAATGCATAAAAAGGGCTTTGACAGAAAGCTGTTCCTTTCTGCCTCCCTCCACCCTCCCTACCCCCAGATCCTGACAATGCTGTTTCTCTACATTCAAACCATTCCAGAGTATCCAGTGTTCTACCACCTCTTCTCCATTAAACTGATACAGCTCGTGTGATTCATCTTTATGTGAAGCTCAAGAGGAAATACTCAGATGCCACATACTCAGATAATTCATTTGAAGTTTCATGGTTTTGAATGGTAAATTGTTCTGATGACCTATGAGAGAAAAGCACTCCAATTTCTTTGAATGATTCTTCTTTAATGTCAGGATGCATTTTCACTCCTTCAGGCCACCAGGCTACAAAGTAGCAGGTTTTGTTGTTTTGCTGAGTACTGCTGTAGTGCTGCAATTTACACAGATGCAAAGCAGACAGTGATTAGGAATGTGTTTTGGCCTTATTAGTAAGACCTGTTAATTGGGTGATATAGGAGTGATTTCTTCCTATGGGTGGACTCCAGCAACATCCAAAAAAGAGAAAAAGTTCAAGCAGCCACAAGCACAGAGGAAGCTTTAAAATTAACCTGCCATGTGATAATTTGTTGATAGGTTGGTTACTGGAAAGACATGGAACAGGAAGATACAGCAGAAACAGTCAAAACTAGAGGGAATGAGTCTTTCGTCATCCTAACAGGATTAGAAGGAAATACGTTATATCACTTCACAGTGAGGGCTTACAATGGAGCTGGATATGGGCCACCTAGCAGTGAAGTGAGTGCAACCACCAAGAAATCCCGTAAGTGACCTGGGCTTTTTGTTTGTTTCAGACAAAGGGGAAACATCGTATAACATTTCTCAAAGCCACGTGAGGTGCATAATAAGCAGAGTCAAAGGGGAGTTTTGATTCATAGTCTTGCTTCAGTGCTTAGATCTGAATCCTCAAACTAGCTCAGAAAATTCTGCATTCAGAGTAGACAAAGGTTATCTTCCTGTGAAACAAGGCTAAGCGATTTTGACACAGAAGGGAGATAAAAGAATTCAAGTTCAAAAGCTCAGCAGAGTAGCTATTAAAATGACACTCCTGGAGCAAAACCCTCCTTATCTGACTCCAGCTGGAAGGAAGCCTAGATTGCCAGCCAACTACTAAGCAGGAGAAAAGATTGAGATACTCACAAAGAATTAAATGAAGAAATGTATTTAAGAATCCTTGTCAGTTCACTTTCACTTTTTATTTTGCAGCTCCTAGTCAAGCACCTAGCAACCTCAGGTGGGAGCAGCAAGGCTCTCAGGTTTCTCTGGGCTGGGAACCCGTCATACCATTAGCCAACGAATCTGAAGTTGTGGGTTACAAGGTCAGTATTTCTTCACTCTTTTGCATAGATACTCATCTCCGAAATTGTTATTATGAAGATGGAAAATTAATAAGGCATAAAAAGACCCATTAACCAACCTATTTTTTCTCAGTCATTTTCTATCTGTATCTTAGAAAGATAGCCTTCCTATAGATAGAGAAGCCAAGGCAGTCAAAATTAGTTTCAACTGCACAAGGCACAGAAAGGGAAGGAGTAGGAAAAGTAGCGACAATCTGAATGTAGTGTGAAGATGACTCTGTGAAGCATGATATTAGGACCAGCAGAATTTAGGCAGAGAATTCTGGCATATTCTTCCAGGAGACTAACTTTGCTGGCAGCTGACAAATATGGGACCATTTCGTTTTAGTGGAAAGTCTTTCTATTAGCAAGGAAACAGAAGAACAAAAAAAATGTAAGGGCTAGAACACTAGAAAGAAAACAAAAAATCCAGGGAGAGACACAGCAAGCTCCAAAACAGAGCCAACATTCACATACAGTCATTCTGTTCTGTGACAGTAAGATCTGGAAATTTGATAACATGTGCAATTTGTTTTTGAAAAATAACTTTGTTATCTGATTTTTAAATATATGTGATCTATGTATTGAATTGGCTTAATTTCAAATTCTTGTTCTATAATGTCAGATTCTGTTTGTTGCATTAAACTTCACACAGAATCATTAGTTGAATATTCACAATATTTTTAATATAATAAAATATATTAAGTATAATATTTTAAAATATTTCAGTGATAATATTTCAACTGAAAGCTATCATTATAGGTGGGTTTTCAACTATCAGAGATGGTAACACAGTATTCAGTACATAAAATGCTAAAATTTAAGGAGCTAAAAACTGAAGAAGTTATAAATGGAATATTTTAATTTCCATTAATATTATATTACACAAACTAGCATTTGTTACCTACTGTAATTAGGATAGATCACAGACACACACACACACACACACACACACACACAAGTCCATCAGTAATGGTCGGGAATATTGAATTTGATCTTTTGCAGGGAGTGCAGATGGGTCATTTTCTATACCATTCCCTTACTCCTCTTTCCATACCCTTCCCCAAAAGACCATATCCTCACAACTTCTCCTCTTAGGGAAATATACTGTTTAATGCTTAGGGATAGCAGGCGAGAAATATGATAGACCATTCAGGAACCAATCTAATATCATTAGAACTATGATGAACAATATCCCAAACTGGAGAGGCAAAGTAGAATGCAAGAGAAAACCAGATAAACGTGTATGGTCAAGTGGAAGGCTCATATGGTTTAGGTACCTTTCAAGTGAGAATAGAGAAATACTATATAACTAGAAAAATACTCTATTGAGCTTGGGTGTAGGGATCCCAGGCTAGGTGCCACTACTCTTTGTTCACATTTGACACCTCTTTCCCAGTCATTGTTCTTACTTTTTATATATGACTGTCTCCCCAAACAGACTGAAGTCCTCAAAGGCAAGGACTTTATCTTACTTATTTCTTGTTCCTAATGTTTCTAGAATGGATGACTAACGTTGGCCCAGATAGAAATGTCTTATGCAGTTATTTATATATGTGTATTATCAAATATGTATTTTTTTCTAGCATAACCTTGCCATTTGTTGTTGCTTAGAGGAAAAAATATCACTGGCCACTGATTCAGACAGATTTTAGTTCAAATCCTAGTTGAGTAATTTAAGTAAGTTGTTTAAACTTTATCAGTTTTATTTTCTTAACTTCACAAATGGCAGAAATAGCAATAATAATACATATTATACAGGATTTTCTAAAGAATAATTTGTATAAAATGCTTGGCATATAAAATGTTCTCATTAAAAAACAGATACCATTTCTTAGTGTTGTTGGAGGAGCATGTCTCATTAGGTACAATTTTTAAAATTTTAACAAAGAAACTGATCGTTAAAAGTTGCCTGCCAGTTCCCTCTTAATAAAGATATCACAAGTCATGTTGGAATACCTTGTTGCTGAGGGAAGAATCACTAGCATAGTCCATTTTAGTTGTGTAAATTAATGACAAGTAGGCACACATTGCAAAAGATATTTTTTTCCTTTTATTTTCTTGAAATGGTTGCACTTCCTTATATCCCTGAGAAGGAAGAATTGATTCGTATAAAAGGAGTCTGCTGATAACAAATGGAGTGAGACCTCAAAACCTTCTCCTTTGCAACTAAACCTTATCGGAACCTTTCTGATGAGTGGGATGATCCCCACTGAGAGAACTGCTGACAGGAAAGGCTTCCTGAGGGAAAGGGGACTTCAGACTGGACTGGGCTTAACCCAGAGTTTGGATTCTCCTCAGAACGCGGGTTTTCACAGGGCAGCCAAGGATGAAAGCTCCTCCTGACACAATGGGACAGGAATATATATTTAGAAATAATAGCTGAGAATATAAACTAAAGAGCTATAACCCAGAGAACACAAGCTTGGAGCCCGTCTTCTGAGTATGACGTTGAAGACAGCTACTGCACCCTTGGCAAGGATCCCCACACAGCAGTGAAAGAACTGTACCATCTGAAGGTGCACACTAATATAGAATGACCAGGGCTGGGCATGATACTCAGAAGGAGAATCCTTTTGATTCCTACTACATCCCAAAAATTACTGCCAACCAAGAGTGGCACCACTATAATAGCGGGCCACCTCTTCTTAAGCACAATGTGTGTCACTTACAAAAATTAATAAAATAGGGACACAGGACACTAATCATTTCTCTTCCCACAAGGTAGTTTGAGGCGGGCTTGACCCATTAAAACTGAACTTGCCCCTAGGATTCTTGGAACATTTGAAGCAGAAAACTTCTTGCTCATCGGGGAAAGGGAGAGTTTCCATACTTAATTGGAATATTAAAAAGGGAGGTCACTTAATTTTCACTCTTTGTCTTTGCAAACTACTTCACTTTTGCAAGCAGAAAGGATCACTGGAAATGCATATTGTGTGGAGGTTTGAGGCTGAGAACTTGGGATTAATGCCTGAGGTTTAAAATGCAGGGAATATATATTCCACCTTTTACATTAAGTCCAGTTTAAGATTGAAGAATTCAGAAAAGTATTTATCTGGGAGACTTCTAGGTTGTGAAAGTTATTGAAACATAATAAATGCAGAGGAAAAAGTAGATATTTTCCCCATATATTCAGTGCATAAATAATGTAATAAATGATTCTTTTGTATAGTTAAGCTGCTATATACAGGATAGACATTCTGAAAAAGTGCACTAGAAACTGGATCTCATAAAGATAGAGACTGGTGGTTATCAGAGGCCAGGAAGGGGAAAGGAGAGTGAGGAACAAAGAGAGCTTAATCCATGGGTACAAATATACTATAAGATAGAAGAAATAAGATCTGGTGTTTGATAGATCAGAAGGGTGACTATAGTTAATAATCTATTGTACACTTCAAAATAGCTAGATGAGAATAATTTGAGTGTTCTTAGCATAAACAATGATAAATATTTAAGGTAATGGATAACCCAATTACCCTGATTTGATCTTTACACATCATACACATGTATCAAATTATCATATTACCCTGAAAATATATACATCTATTATGTATCAATAAAAAATTTAAAAAGTAAATGATATAAAGGAATAATACATTGTCCTTTAATCTTTAGTAGTTGAACTCCTTTCAGGCAGATAAATGTGCATTAATACCTCTAGGAATTTTAAAATTTATTTTGCCATTTTCCATGGAATATAATAAGAACACTATAAAAAATATATCAGTACATTATAAAATTTTAAAGCTTATATTAATAAAGTAATTGTAATCTTGAAAAGTAAACTATAGAAATAGCACAAGATAAAACAGCAGAATTTGACATTTGAGCTCCCCATTGTCCAAGAAAGCACTGTCTTAGTCCTTTTGCGCTGTTATAACAGATATCTGGGACTGGGTTATTTATAAAAAACAAAAATTTACTTCTCTCAGTTCTGAAGGCTGAGATGCCCAAGATCAAGGCTCCAGCAAATTCTGTGTCTGATGAGGGTCCACTTTTGGTTTCCACAATGGTGACTTGAAAGCAGTATCCTCAAGAGGGGAGGAACACCGTGTCCTCACTTGGCAGAAGGCGGAAGTGCAAAAGGGCCAACAACCACGAGAAGCCTCTTTTATAAGGGCATTGATCATACTCATGAAAGGAGAAGTCCTTGTGATACAATCACCTGTTAAGGGCCCCACCTCTTAATACTATCACACTGGCAACACCTGAATTCTGCAGGGGACACATTAAAACCATAGCAGCATAGATCTTACTTTCTTACTCGATTTCAGACATTGAGGTGTCAGCAACATATATAACTAGCAGATATTACTAGAGAAAGATGATAACAGAAATTTTGCTAACAGATATTAAAAAAAAAAAAGAGGTTTCCCTATCACAAAATCTTGTCAGGGCCTTCAAAGTGACCAAGAATATCATGAAAGATAGATGGAATTGAACCACATATAATTGCACAATAGGTAACACATTAAAACTGAATTCATTTAGGTGAACATTAAGCAGTACCTAGTGGTGAAACTTTCCACTGATTTTTTTTTGAGATTGTCTATGAGATGCTGGGCTTCTTGGAATTTTGTTTAAGAAATCCAGATTTAATAGTAATAATTTCAAGATATCATAGTTTTCACTAACAAGTAAGGACTAAAAGCATAGAGAACCAGCAAGATGTTGGAAAGGATTGTCTGTTATACCAAATAATAATACAAATAATTTCCACTCAAAATAACTTTCCATTTGAGAAGCTGAATCCAATTTGGTAATTTATTTAGCATATTTATGACTTTTCTTCAGGTCAATAAACATGTGCCACTTTATTTTGTTGTATTTACATTCCCCAATTCAGAATCAACTGCCTATTTTATTAATACATTATATATAAATGATTGGGAAAATGAAACAAAAACTTCAAATCAAAGTTTTCTTACCTTGACTTATTTTTTCAAATAAATGTTTTTAAACAAATAAAATTTTATTTTTACAACTCCTATAATTTGGGGTCTCTATCTAGAATCCTTACTAATTATAGCACGTAAGACTCACCATTACTGGTGTTACTAAAGAAATGCCAAAAAAGCTTATTGACTAAAGTATATTCAGCCATAATTTTTAATGATCTCAAAAATGGAAAATATTTTTCTTTACACGATGAAAGTAATTTACCCAGGTTATAAAGTAAAAACAACCATTTTATCTCCACCTTATTTTCTTCACACAGACTTATGCTTGAGTGAAAGGGAAAATAAAACTCAATGTTCAGGGGCTATGCTTTCACTTCAGCAAATGTCCCCTTCCCCACAAACAAAAACTGTTATCCCTTCAGAAAAGACACAAGCAGTCAGAAAGAATTCAGGACCTCAGGCTATAATCCAAGCAAAAACTATTAGTTTTCAAATCTGTATCTAGAAAATAGCCTTTCCTAGATATACAACCCCTTCACCAAATATCTCCCCTCACCCATATCTACTTTCTACCTGTTAACAGAGCTAGGGCAAATAGAAGGAAATCAGGCCCAAAGTTTACTAGTTATTATACAGTCCATCAATACCGTAATAGTCCATTTTCACATTGCTAATAAAGTCATTCCTGAGACTGAGCAATTTGTAAAAGAAAGAGTTTTAATGGACTCACAGTTCCACGTGGCTGGAGAGGCCTCACGATCACGGCGGAAGGTGAAAGGAACGTCTCACATGGCAGCAGACAAGAGAAGAGAACTTGTGCAGGGAAACTCCCCTTTATAAAACCATCAGATCTCATGAGACTTACTCACTATCATGAGAATAGCACGGGAAAGACCTGTCCCCATGATTCAGTTACCTCCCACCAGGTCCCTCCCATAACATGTGGGCATTGTGGGAACTACAATTCAAGAAGAGATATGGGTGAGAACACAGCCAAACCATATCAAATACAAACAGAGGTTCTCATTTGTTTATGCAACTTAGATATCAGTTGAGATTCCAGATTCCTGAGATATATGTACACTTGGGTTGATACTGTTTTACATACCCACTAGAACTTTGAAGCCCATCCCTGTATTTCTCTAGCTTCTTGGGAACTGTATAGTCTATAGCCACTCTAGCCTCTGATTTCTTTTATTTTGTAGCTCCTCCTTCATCTTATATTCACTCTAAATAGGAGACTCAGCCTTCTTTTCTCTGTTTCCACAAATTAAAAAGACTCACATATAATGACTTAAGCTGGAAGATAGGTACATGAGGTTCATTATAGTATCCTCTTTACATTCATTTATGCCTGAAATTTCTCAGAATTTTTAATAATTGAAATAGAAATGGCTCATGTCACATGCAGTATATATATGAAGCTGACTTTTTGGAAATGCTGGGGAGATAGAGTTAGAAAGGAACAACATGCAAGCAAACATCTGCAACATGCCCAAAAAGAAATCTTGTTGTTAAAATTGTGTTCAGACACCCTGCAGGCAGTGAATTCTCACTGATACTGTGTCTCCCAACTTCTATTCATCTAACTTCCATTGTCTTACTGACTCCTTCCTTCCCATCCCATTGTCACCGAGGCTTTAGATTCCTCACCCTTTTTATGAAGAGCAGTTGTACCCATCAATTCTTCCGAAGATGCTCAGCAGAGGAATAGGCCTTTCCTTTAATATGAGCCATCCCTCTCAGGAGTAGTTTGGGTATAACCAGCAAAAATTTATTCTGTCATATTTTTAGCACACTCTCCTCAATATTCTACTACCATCAAACATATAGAATAGCCATTTTCAGATCATGCCTTTGAGAATAGCAATACCACAATCACTTTCTATTTAGGATCATCTCTTTAGATAACCCACTGCTCTCAGTTTTTTTTTTAATACCAAAATTTGAGAATAGTCTTGACAATACATTAGACAATTTTCTTTATGCATAAACATAGCTGTCATTGCAACTGTCAATCTATAAATGTCCATATTCTCTAAGAACTCTCTGGACTCCTTACTGTCAATAACTATTTTTTTCTATGTCTTGATAACTTCTTAACCTTCTCATAGTTCTCATTCTCATGCATCTTTTCTAAATCAGGATTTTAAAATGAGCCAACATTCTCTAAAGCACTGAAGATTAACTATTAATTTAATGTATCTTTTTACTTAGTAGATCTACATATATGTATAGCACTCCATCTCCCTGGATATATTGGCAAAAGGCCACACTTAATCTCAAACTCGTTTTGACACCACTAACTGATTTTTTCCCCGTCTTTACCTCTTAATCCTAAATCTCAACTGATCCACAAATTTTTCTTCAACTCTAGAACATTAGATATGCATTGCTGGATGTATTTTTCTTTGTCATAAGAAATGTAATTTATTGAACCATAATAACACTGTCCTCTAAAATAATCACTCCCCTGCCAATCCTCACCAATTTACATACTTTCCCATTCCCATAAATTTGCTTTCTAATTACCTCACATGGATGATCAGAATTCTAATTCATCACGATGCTCCAGACGAAATCAAAAGCATACAGATATATTTGTCACATTTTAAGACAAAAGAAGCTGCTTAAGGCATCCTCCAGGAAGTGTTCCTGATTTCCCCAATCTTGACTAAGTACCCACTTTGTGCATTACCATAGCATCAAATATATTTCCCGCTGCAGTGCATATCACACTTCTTTGCATTGTCTGTCTGTCTTCAATATTAGACTATAAATGCCAGGAAGACTGTAACCATGTGGTCTTATTCTCTGATGAATCTCCGGTATGTAGTACTATGCCTGGCCTGCATGAGATGTCCAATAAATGTTTGATAATGCTGTTATCACCTTGCATTTACACTGAGGCTATAGCATCCTTCACAATAAGGATTTCCATAGATAAAATTGTTGCACATCATAATTAAATGGAGAATTCACTTCCCTCCCAAGAACATGAAGTAGATTTAAAATTAAATGAAAAAAAAGAAAGTGAAATGGAGGGAGCATTTATTACTAGAATTCAGAGGGTTCAAGTACACGCAGGCTTCAATATGTGGAAATATTGCTTCTCTAAAGTATTTTTGGATTTTTTTGTATGTAAGTTAATTCAAGCTCAAAACACATTTTCTGTAAGAAAATATATGTCAATAATTATCTAATTTCCCAAGTCAGTTCATATTTTATGATGCACTTGAAATACCAACCCTTTAACAGTTAATAAACAATGATGGCAACAGAAGGAGTAGCTTTCTCTTTTTAAGCTTATCATACACCAGGTCCTGTGCTAGGTATTCTACAGGCGCTTTCTCATTTTACTCCCCTAAAACACTAAAATTGTTATTATCATCTCTATCATACAGTAGAATAAATTGAAGTTTACAAAATTTAGTAACTTGCCCAAATTTTCCCAGCCAGGAAGGTATAGGAGATTTTGTTTTCTTTTGCTATGTTTTGTAGGAAACTGTTTCATATCCAGATCTGTATGAATACAAAGCCATTTTTCTTTCCATTGTACACTTATAATACCAATTATGAAAAAGCACAAAAAACAGTGACTCTGAATAAAAACACATTTAAACACATCTTAACTGCCACTACTTGACTATTATACCAAAAATTTTACTTGACTATTTTTGGAGGCAAGTAATAGTACAATATAGTAAAATAGCTCTGAAGTGATGATCAAATATAAATCTTCTGATGAGATTTCTACCCTAACTAGCCACACGGTCTTGTACAAGTCACCTAACCTTTATGGCCTTCATTTTCTAATATGTAAACCCAGGATTATCCTGTGTCCTGATTTGCAGTTCCAAAATTGTTTTCCGTGCATGTATGTTTAATTATAATACCACAACAGATGTCTAAAAAGCTTTAGCTTTGCTACACCATGTATCCAAATGCCGATTTTACCAAAAAGCAAACCACTACAAAAGCAAAAATTAAAAAAATAAAATTTTCACTTTCAACTGTTTCCTACATTGTTAAGGATTTATTATTGGTATGTTTAACAAATTTTGTTTACTCCTTTCAAACTATTTGAAGATGAGCTTTCCAAACTTCCTTAGGATATTTCAATAACCAAGCATAACAGACTCTCCATGATCTGCCTCCTCTCTACCTACTTCTCTAGCCTCATTCCTCACTATTCCCATATATCCCCTCTCCATTCCCTGCTCTCATGCCATTGTTTCTTATTGCTTAGATGTAGTTATTAATTTTATCTTACCTCTTTCTGGAATTCTCCCTTTCTCAAACTGGTCCACTCTATCATATTTAAGTATGTAGTTCAGACATCACTTCCTCTGGAAGTCCTTCACTAAACCCCTAGACAAAATTAAACTCTCTCCTGTACCTCCATGGCCCTTTTGTGTACTTCTACTGCAGTAGACTGCACATGTATTACATTTGCTTATGTATCTGTCTAAACTGTAAGCTCCTTGTGCTTATCTCAGAATGTGACACATAGTAGGCAGTCAATGTGCATTTGTAATCTTTCATATCAAATGTCTAAACCTTGTTATTACTCTCAGGTTTTTTATAGGCAAGAGGGTCACAGCAACAGCCAAGTTATTGAAACACAGAAACTTCAAGCAGTAGTACCACTCCCAGATGCTGGAGTCTATATTATTGAAGTTCGAGCATATAGTGAAGGAGGAGATGGAACAGCTAGTTCTCAAATTAGGGTACCATCATATTCAGGTAAGTTTTGACACAGTAGATTTAATTTGCTGACAACCAACAATTACGAGATGGTATGAAAGTCACGAAAATTGATGTGATAGATTTCATGGTTCAGAGATTTTGAGGGATTTCTCCTCTCTGATTTTTATATTATCTTCTGATTAATATGAACCATAGTAATCTGCTCACAATTGCAGAATTTCTACAAATCTAGAAAGGAGTTGACATTTTCATTAGAATATACTGATTTGTGAAATGTCCTTGCCTCTCCTGGTCTCAAGCAGTACCTTGCTAGCCATTTGGTTTTTGGAGTATAGCTTTTAAACTGATATTACACTGGTTTTGACATACCTACATTTCTGTAGTTTTGATTGCCTTTATTGTTAGACAATAAGGAATTTAAAGAGAAGCTTTTAAAATTGAAATGTGACCATATTTATTGATTTCTAAACAAATTATAAATTTTATTGTACATTATTATTAACAATATTAATAATTGCTAGCTTTCACTGACCCTTATTATATGTCAGGCATGGTCAAAAGTGCTTTACATACATCATCTAAGTTTAGTAACAATCATATGAGATAGGTGACATTTTTACTGTTTTGCAGAAAACATTTAAGTAACTTGCCTAAGACCACACTATTACTAAGTTTCGGAACCAGGATCAAAACCTGCGTATGATTGTCTCCAAAACCACATATCTCCATCACCACCATCATTATTACATAAGCAAGGGAAAACTGATTAAAGGAAGCAAGATTTTAGAAATTTAGAAGAAAGCAACCATTTCGTAGAGATAGTAAAAAAAAAAAAAAAAAAGCAAAAATTAGGCAAATTTCTAATTTTAAAAGTATTAGACAATTTTATGAGAACATTATGAAACATTTTCTCATGTACAATTAGTGGGTAATTAGGAACATCATTTGTTGAGCAATCATTGCCAAGCAGAATTATCAACCTACAGGGAAGTGTCCCGTCATGCTCTGTATGTGGCCCTATGTTATTTAACGTATTTATCAACTTGAAGTCAGACCAGAGGCATTGCTTGTGATTTTTTTTTTTATGCCACCAAGTGAAATGGGAGATAAATACAGTGTAGAAAAGAATGAGACAGACTGGAACTTTGAGGAAAAGCTACTGACATAATACTTGATAATTTTTTTAACTTTTTAAGTTCAGGGGTACATGTGCAGGTTTGTTACACAGGTAAACTTAAACTTGTGTCATGGGGTTTTGTTGTTCAGATTATTTCATCACCCAGGTATTAAGCCTAGTACCCATTAGTTATTTTTCCTGATCCTCTCCCTCCTCCCAACCTCCACCCTCTGATAGGCCCTAGCGTGTACTGGTCCCCTCTATATGTCCATGTGTTCTCATAATTTAGCTGCCACTTACAATACTTGATAAGTTCTCACATGAAAATACAGGATAAGGAACATTATTGATAATTGATAAGATTTGCATACCTGTAAATTAGATATTACATCAACATTCATTTCATTTTTTTAAAAAACTATACTGTGGTTATATTTTTAAAAGCCTTATTTTTAGGAACTATACATTAAAATATTTTGAGGAAAAGATGCATCATATCTGCTATCTGCAATTCATTTCAAATGTTTCAAAAAAATGTATATATGTACAGAAATAACAATAAAGCAAGAATGATAAACTGTCAACATTTAAGGAATCTGGGTGAATTCCTTAGTCTCACAACTTTTCAGTACACCTAAAAGTATTTTTAAATGAATAGTTAAAAATACAAAACATAAGATGGGAGAAATCTGACTTTTTCAGAAATTCTGGTGAAAAGATCTAAGAATTTAAATTTTATTGTGGTCACACAAAAATTTAATATGCTTTATGGTTCATTTATAAAAGTATAGTTTTAACAACAAGAAAAGTTATAATGTCTCTGCATTAATTATTTCACAATTGAACTGTTCAGATGAAGGCTGAATTTTCAAGAGCATCTTAAAAGACTATTTCCTGAAAAGCAAAATATACGACAACCTTCCTCTTGCTTCAGCACGTCAGATTCCTAGACAACAATACAGTGAGCATTTACTGAGGCCTCATCACGTTCCTGGGATTAAACTAGGTGTTTTCTATATATTATTTTATCTTTCTAGCAATCCTTTGGGTTAGGTATTTTATTCTTCTCTGACTCTCTAAGGTTACTTTCAACTCCAACACAATCAGATTCTATAGTATTATCTGAATAAGATCAGCCTCAACCTTGGAAGTACTTATGACAACCTTAATTCTCCCATTTATATTTTAAATTGTAACTTCTACTCCAAGAAAAAAATTGTCAACTTTTATATTTCAGTTAATAAAATTTGGGCAGTGCAACCCACTTCCTGAGTTTCAGTATGGGAAACTCTTACACTATTGTCTACCTTAGACTCAGAACCTGAGTCATGATTGGTTTCATTTTTATCATATTGCAAAAACCAAATGCCTAAGATATTGAATGACTTGCCCAAGTGAAACAGCTAGTTAGTTTTATAGCTGGGGCAAGAACTTAGTCTAATGTTGCTCTTTCTGTTGTTTTGTGGGGTTGTTTTGCTGTATGAAAGTAATATGTTTTAGCTTTGTAGATTCTATTTGAAATTTGAGACACAGACCCTACTTAGCATTCTGAAAGTGAGATATTTTTATAAAAGTGTCAGGTAAGTTGATTTAACAAAGATGCAGCCATTCCCAATAGCTAGAAAGGATGTGTTCTTGTTTTTTATTTATTAAGCATGCACATACGACTCCAGTGAGTCTTTGTCATCTCGCCTTTCTTATAGCTCACAAGTGGCTATGTGCTTCACAATAACCCCATTTTGTACAAGTTGAAATATATGCATCATTCTCCAATATGTTGATTGATAAGTTCTAGTAGTGTATTAGCTGTAAAATTTTTCAAAGGAAAGATTTACGCTTTTTGCATTTGTGTGTGTGTGTGTGCACGCCCATGTGTGTGTTTACCAAACAAATTATTCTCTAGCTCTTAAGCATCAGGAAAATAAATTCAGACTCTATCTTTGCAACTAAAACTACCCCCCCAAATCCCATTACACTCAGTCTAGCCAGAGAGGATTACCTTGACAGAAGATTCCAGCAATTGGGTAGTAGATTATAGTATTATTATTAGGGTTTTAACTAAGGCCAATCATTGTTTTAAGAGAGATAATACACGAGTATCTAAATCCACTAATTCCTACCTCAATTACTCTAAGCAAGTTTACAGCCTTTCTAAGCCCCAGTTCCACCTGCAAGAGGAGAATAAATAATTGTATTTACCATATAGGAATGTTATGAGGATCAAATAAGATAACATATATAAAAAGCTTCGTACAGTATGTGACATACAATAATCATTTATTAAATAATCAATTATGATCATGATGCTTCAGAAGACTTCTGGCTTGAAGAACCACTCCTGATGTTAGTATCTAAAAGTCACTTAGTTTGTGGTTATGTAGGGCTATTAAAACTACTTCAGACCAATCAACCTTGGATCAGTCAGTTTAATCCAACAGCGATTCTAATATATTAGCTGCATACAATGTTTTTGTCTCATAAAAGATCCTCTCCTGGGTATAAGAAAGAGTGACGAAAGATCACCATTTTTTGCCAGGTTTGGCATGAGAACCTAGAATTTAAGCTCACTCAACTGAAATAATCAAGAACACATAAATAAATTCAGTAAATAAAATAATGTTATTAGATTTTAAAATTTACTAGAGTAAGCATAGTCATGTATTTCTTAATGATGAGGATAAGTTCTATTAAATGCATCCTTCAGCAATTTCATTGTGTGAACATCATAGAGTATGCTTACACAAACTTAGATGGTATAGCTTACTATACACCTAAGGCATATGGTATAGCCTATTGCTCCTAGGCTGTAGACATACACAACATGATACTGTACTGAATACTGTAGGTAATTGTAACACAGTGCTATTTGTGTATCTGAACATAGAAAAATTACAGTAAAGATATAGTCAGTATAAAAGATAAAAAAATGGTATACCTCTACAGGGCAGTTAACAGGAACAGAGCTTGCAGGGCTGGAAGTTCTGGGTGAGTCACTGAGTGATTGCCAAGTGAATGTGAAGGCCTATGACTTTATTGTACACTGTCATAGACTTTATAACTGTATACTTAGGCTATATTACATTTATAAAAACAATTTTTTCTCTAATAAACTTAGCTTACTGTAACTGTTTTACTTTATAAACTTTAAATTTTATCTCTTTTGTAATAACACTTAAAACATACATAATACAGATTAAAAAAACATTTTCTTTATATCTGTATTCTATAAACTTTTTAATATTTTTTATTTTATTTTGTTTGCTTTTTAAACTGTTTTGTTAGAAACTAAGTCACAAACATCCACATTAGCATAGGCTTAGGCCTAGGTCAGGATCATCAATATCAGTCTTCCATCTCCACATCCTGTCTCACTAGAGGGTCTACAGGGGCAATCATACACATAGAGCTATCATCTCTTGTGATAATAATGCCGCCTTCTGGAAGCCCTTCTGAAGGACATGCCTGAAGTTGTTTTACAGTTAACTGTTATTCTGTAAGTAGGAGTACACTAAAATAATTACTAAAAGAATAGTAAATACATAAGCCAAATAACAGTCATTTGTTACCATTATCAATTAAGTACTGTACATTATACGTTTATACAACTAGCAGAACAGGTTTGTTTACACCAGCATCACCACAAATACGTGAGTAACATATTGCATTACAACATTCTAATGGCTACAACATTACTAGGCAATAGGAATTTTTCAGTTCCATAATAATCTCAGGGGGCCACCATCAGATATGTAGTCCATGGTGGACTGAAATGTCATTATGCAGCTCATGACTGTAAATTATGAATTCATATTGCCACAAATTTTGTAATTTTTGCTCCATTTTCTGAACTATGCACTATCAAAATTATTTTATTTTTTATATCTGAATTTGGAATACTTTCATCATTGGTGAAAATTAAATCTCATGATTGGATGTGTTTGTTAGACATGACATCACCTTTTCAATACAATATCTCATATATACTTGTCCCTTCTATATAACTTTGGGAACCTCAGATAATGTCTGATTTTATAAATATAAAGAACACTCTCATCAGAAACAGGAGCGATCTTGCACTCATTAGTCTTACATACTAAAAACAATTCTGTCCTAGCTCAAGCAAAACCAAGATAATTTGCTCCATTTGATGCTTCTTTTTTCACAGGTGGAAAAATCACAAGTGCACAGTCGACCCTTCACTCTCTCTCCACATCTTCGTCATCAGTCACCTTGCTCTTGGCATTGATGATTCCTTCAACTTCCTGGTGAAAACTGCTGACTTAATTTGCTTTTGTTTGCTTTAGCTTGGTAACAGCGGTGAATAGAGTGTAGTGTAAGTGGAGAACCAGGATCCTGAGATGAGCTTGAGCTTTAAAAACTTGGGACTATACATGGTGAACTTACAGGAGGTTAGGGGGGAAATATTACTTATCCATCAGGTTTCTCTTTGGTTTTTGTAAACGGAGAGGACAGTTCTTAGTCCAGTAAAAATATGCAGATTGTATGTAATGAATTTTTGTAAACAAAGGTAATTTCTGTCAAATGTATTCTTTACTTTTTTAATATGTTGGGATTTTATTTTATATCTGATGACTCCGAGTGTGTGCCATCCATTTGTTAAGTAACTGGCCTTTAGCAGATCTGTTTCAAAAACAAATACAAAAATGAGAATGAAAAGTTTGCTTAAGACTAAGTCCAGTGTTTTTCATTTTCCCTTTGGCTGAATATTTCAATTGACAAACCAGCAGGACATATGAAAAATGCTTCAGTGATGTGGTCCATTATAAGATAAGTACACAAAAATTTTCTTGAAAAATATTGTATGATTGCATAGTGAAATAGCAAGATTTGTCAATATGCTATTCTATATGCACCCCTAGAGCAAGTCATTAGGGTAGGGAATAAGCCATTTACATTAGTGCAAGATAGAAAGCGAGTCCAGATGAATTTCAGTGCTATAGTTTTTCATAAAGTACTATGTTATCTAGCAGCAAATATAATAAATATTTATTTTTAATAACAAAAGATGGTTTAACATCACCAAAAAATATGATCACTAAAAACTGCAGACATGCTGGCATGGGTGCTAACTTAAAAATGAGATGAATATGGGACAGAGCGTTTCCATTTCTTTACCTACTGCCAAAACAGATGTTGAATTAGGTCCAAGGTTTTCTTCTAATTGCAAAATTTTGCAAAAATTTTAAGGGCAATGAAAATTTGTTGTGCAAATAATTATGCATAGTCTGTAGATTAAAATGGTTCAAGTATAACAAATAAGTTTTGATTTTTAAAAACAGTTCCATGCATCACATACCACTGATAAAATCAACTAGTAAAATAAAGACAGTCTTTCTTGGATAAATTGAATTTTTAATTAAGCTGTGGAAACATGGCATCAGTACAGGGATTCAGCTAGTCTAGCCAGCTATGCACTGTTTGATTCTGTGGCTTGGGAAGTAATCCTTATTTGCTATTTCAAAGAGTCATCTTGAGCCTGAGAGATCCTAGAGAGTTGTTGGAAAATGAGATGAAAATTTTCTACTTGATGATATCTTAAAGAAGTTCTAACAAGCACAAGAATGTGCCAGAGTTGGCATCATACCCATGAAGATGCGTGAAAGGATAGTTATTGCAAAGTCATATGCCAGAGAAGAGCCTGGAGAAACTATGGTTTTATAGGCGATGTTAACAAGAGAACAAAAATTGGTTTTATAATTTTATATAATTTAAACTTGTTAACTGTATTTGCTTCATTAATAACAAGCAAAATGAAACAATATGGAGCTCAAATTGCTAGCTCTCAAGGTTAATCCTTGTAGAATCAGAGAAGTGATTGAAGTTTCTGTTCTGAACATCCTGAAAGAATAGTTTCAGAGCCACAGTAAAAGTCTGTATGTAGGTTACATATTCTCTTTGGGGAAATGATGTAAGACACCCTAAACAAACAAGAAATTAGTTAAAAGACTCACTCAATGATATTATAGTAAATACTACAGATGGTAAGTATTTAAGCCTGTAAGTAAGTAATTATGACCAAGTGGCCTTTCTTGAACGCCTCCTTTAAAGTGGGAGAGGCTGGACTTTGCAAAAACAGGGATGCTAATTGTTTAGCTGGCAAAACATGAGCTCTCCCAAGTATAGTTTACCTTTATGAATTGTGCATCTGAATAAAAGACAGAAAGAATATTTTTAATGCAAAATAATTTTACGTATTTCATGAATCAAGCCATTTTCTTCATTTTCCATGGTGGTGTACACCAGATTTAGTGAAGGACTTTAAGAATCAACTTCTTACTTACACTCTCAGAAAGCAAAGCCCAGTAAAATATTAAACAAATAAAATGGCAAATTTAAATTAACCAATATTTTTAATTAGCTGATGGATGGTACGTATCTGACAGAGTATTTACACATATAGAATGTCTGATGTATTCTTACAGGAATCAGAGATATGGAATGTTTTTACTTAACATACACAGAATATGTATTTTGCATCATAAACCTATTTAAAAAACAGGTTTTCAATGTTTATGTACTTATGTGCTGCATATCTGTTACTTTGTAGAAACCAGAAGAGCATTCTTATCAAGGTACATTATTTTTCAGCTACAGTACTGAGTTTTTTCTGCTATGGGATAGTAACCACAGTCTTAAATCACTAAAGAGACTGTATTTTTGTATAATGTCCATTGAATATGAAGAAAGCAACAGTCCTTATAATTAGAAATTTCATGAAAGCAAAAGTTTTGCATACCCAAATGAAGGTACTGTGGACCCCATGTCAAACTGTTAAATATATTGTGTACGATCTGTATATATACTATATATAAGGCATATACCGTGTGGAAGGCACAGTCAAATAATAGTTCTGTGTACTGTTCTTGTAACATTAGATCTTTTTAATAAATAATTCTCTTTTTATTGACTTTTATCTTCTCTCCTGTCAACTATATGAATGACATTATTTATTTTATGCAGACCACAGAATGCCAACGATTACAGTCTGATTTTAACACTGAAATATCATTATGTTATGCTGTTATGATTTGAGGTTCAAAAATCTCCAGAAATGTCCACGGTAGTCCCAACTTGAAAATTTGAAGCTATATCAAAAAATAAAACAAGAAATGAAGCAAATCCAGATGGGATAAGTTCGGGGTTAAACTCATGATTTTCTTTTCAGGAAAAGAGACTACATGAAATCAGTTTCATAAAGAATTTGTTAAATGCATACTTCTGCTTTTATTATAAACAGTTAATCCCAATCTATTCTAAGTACAATTCTCATAGGCATTGACTCTTTTTTTGTCCCTTAGCCCTGTTATACATCTCAACTATACCAATAATCACATTATAATGATTTGTTTTAAACGCTTCTCTCCAACTATCTAGTCACTGGGATTGCCCAGGGAAAAATACATTATTCTTGGAATTTCTCTCACCAGTGTCTAGCACAGTATCTAACACATATCAAATGAGCAATAAATTGTCAGCCTTAAAATTTCCTTTGGAACGAGCTCCCCAAAACTGGGTAATCGTCCAACACAGCTGGGAACCCAAATCTCCAAGTTCTCATTCAGTAGGTCCGAGACTAGGAAACCCTTGTTTTTAAAATCTTCTCAAACACAAAATAATACAACTCTATTAAAGGAAATTTGGCAATATCTAGTAAAATTTTATATGGATTTGCCCTTTTACCTAGGATATCCATACCTAGGGATCTATCTATTCCTAAAATAGATACAAAAATATGCAATGTTAAGTGGATAAAACAAGATACAGAAGAGTGAATGTATGACCCTTTTGTGTAAAATACAAACACATTTACTAATATTCTGAAGAAGAAATAATGCAAGCATAAACTAATGACTAATAAAAAAGTGTTACCGATTGAGGAGGGAGAGAATGGGATGCGGGAACAAATATGCAAGCAAACTCTTTTTCAATGTACAGTACTTTTTCATAGTTTTGATTTTGGAACTACACAAATGTTTTAGATGAAATTAAACTTTAAACCAAAAGGAAAAAAAAAACAAAGCAATCTCCTAACATTGAGAATAAATAGAAGCAAATGAACCTGAATATCTATCAACCAAACGGTGGGTAAATTGTAATTTTGCTCTTTTTTTAAACTTTTATTTTAGATTCAGGGGGTACATGTACAGGTTTGATACCTGGGTATACTGCATGATGCTGGTTTGGGGCGTTAATGATCCTGTTACCCAGGTACTGAGCACAGTACACAATAGTTAGCTTTTCAACCTTTATAACCCAGCTCTCTCTCCCAGCTCTCCCTCTCTCCCAGCTCTAGCAGTACCAAATTTCTGTTATTGCTGTGATTGTGTCAATGAGTACTTAATGTTTAGCTCCCACTTATAAGTAAGAACATGTGGTATTTGGTTTCCGATCCTGCATTAATTCACTTAGGATCATGGCCTCTAGCAACATTCATGTTGCCATAAAGGACATGATTTTGTTCATTTTATGGCTGTATAGTACTCCGTGGCTTATATGTACCACATTTTCTTTATCCATGTATTGTTGATGGGCACCTAGACTGATTGATTCCATTTCTGTGCTATTGGGAGCAGTGCTGTGATGCACATGTGAGTGTCTGTGTCTTTTTGGCAGAATGATTTCTTTTGGATATATACCCAGTAATGGGATTGCTGGGTCAAATGGTAGTTCTAAGTTCTTTGAGAACTGCTTTCCAAACTGCTTTCCACAGTGGCCAAAATAATTTACATTCCCCTCAACAGTGCATAAGTATTCCCTTTTCTCCACAGCCTCACCAGCATCTGTTGTTTTTTGACTTTTTAATAATAGCCATTCTAACTGGTGTGAGATGGTATCTCATTGTGGTTTTGATTTGCATTGCTCTGATAATTAGTGATATGGAGAATTTTTCATGTTTATTGACCACGTGTATGTCTTCTTTTGAGAAGTGTCTATTCATGTCTTTTGCTCATTTTTTGATGAGGTTATTTTTTGCTTGTTCAATTATTTAAGTTCCATATAGATTCTGGATATTAAACCTTTGTTGGATGCAAAGTTTGTGAATATTGTCTCCTGTTCAGTAGGTTGTTTACTCTGTTGATAGTTTCTTTTACCATCCAGAAGTTCTTTTGTTTAATTAGGTCCCACTTGCCAATTTTTGTTTTTGTTGCAGTTGCTTTTGAAGACTTAGTCATGAATTCTTTCCCAAGGCCAACATCCAGAAAGGTTTCCTAGATTTTCTACTAGGATTCATATGGTTTGAGGTCTTACATTTAAATCTTTAATCCATTTTAATTTTTTATGGTAAAAAGTAGGGATCCAGTTTCATTCCTCTGCATATGGCTAGCTAGCTAGCTATCCCAGCAACATTTATAGATTACGGAGTCCATTCTCCATTGCTTATTTTTGCCAACTTTGTCAAAGGCCAGATGGCTGTAGGTGTTTGGCTTTATTTCTGGGTTCTCTATTCTATTCCATTGATCTATGTGTCTGTTTCTGTACCTGTACCATGCCATTTTTGTTACCATAGCCTTACAGTATTGTTTGAAGTCAGGTAATCTTAAGTCTTTGTCTTTGTTCTTTTTGCTTAGGATTGCTTTGGCTTTCTTGGCTCATTTTTGGTTCCCAATGAATTTTAGAATAGTTTTTTCTAGTTCTGTGAAAAATGACATTGGTTAATAGGAATAGCATTGAATCCATAGACTGCTTTGGGTGGTATGCCCATTTTAATGATATTGTTTCTTCCAGTCCATGAGAATGTACTGTTTCTCCATTTGTTTGTGTCATCGATGATTTCTTTTAGCAATGTTTTGTAGTTCTCCTTTAGAGATCTTTCATCAGCTTGGTTAGATGTATTCCTTAGTGTGTGTGTGTGTGTGTATGTGTGTGTGTATGTGTGTGTCTATTATAAATAGGAATACATTCGTGGTTTGCCTCTCCTGTTGAACATTATTGTTGTATAGAAGTGGTACTAGTTTTTGTACAATCATTTTGTATACTGAAAACTTTACTGAAGTCATTTATCAGTTCTAGGAGCCTTTTGTCAGAGTCTTTAGGGTTTTCTAGGTATAGAATCATCTGCAAGAGAGATAGCTTGACTTCTTATTTTCCTGTTTGGATGCCTTTTACTTCTTTCTCTTGCCCGATTGCTCTGGCCAGTACTTCCAGTACTATTAGGTTGATGCAAAAGTAATTGCAGTTTTTGCCATTAATACTTTTCACCGCAATTACTTTTGCACCAACCTAATATGTTGAATAGGAGTGGTGAGAGTGGACATCCTTGTCTTGTTCCAGTTCTCAAGGGAAATGGGCTTTCAGTTTTTGCCCATTTAGTATGATGTTAGCTGTGGGTTTGTCATAGATGGCTATTATTTTGAGATGTTCCTTCAGTGCCTAGCTGGTTGAAGGTTTTTATCATTGAGGGATGTTGGATTCTATCAAAAGATTTTTCAACATTTATTCAGATAATCATACGGTTTTTGTTTTCAGTTTGGTTTATGTCATGAATTGCATGTATTGATTTGCATATGTTGAATCAATCTTGCATCCCAGGAATAAAGCCAACTTGATTGTGTGAATTAACTATTTGATGTGCTGCTTATATGATATACTAGCACTTTTTTGAGGATATTTGCATCTGTGCTTATCAGAGATACTTGCCTATTGCTTTCTTTTTTCATTGTGTCTTTGCCAGGTTTTGGTATCAGAACCTAAATGGCTACCTAAATGCCCAGTATCACTGGCTTCATAGAATGAGTTAGGAAAGAGCTGCCTCATCCTCTTTTGGGTGGGATAGTTTCATTAGAATTGGTAACAGTTCTTCTTTGTATGTCTGATAGAATTCAGCTGTGAATTCATCTGGTCCAGGGCTTTTGTTGTTGGTGGTGTTGGTAAGGTTTTTTTTTGTTTTGTTTTTGTTTTCCATTACTGATTCACTTTGCGAACTCAATATTCGTCTGTTCAGGATTTCAATTATTTCTCAATTCAGTCTTAGAAGATTGTGTGTTTCCAGGAATTTATCCATTTCTTCCAGATTTTTTACTTTGTATATATAGAATTGTTCATAATAATCTCTGAGGATCTTTTGTATTGGTAGAATTGGTTGTAACGTCACCTTTGTCATTGTTGATTAAGCGTATCGAGATCTTCTCCCTTTTTTCTGTGACTCTAGATAACTGTCTATTAATCATTTTATTATTTCAAAAAAGTAACTTTTGGTTTCATGGATTCTTTGTGTAGATTTTTGGGTCTTAAATTTGTTTAGTTCTGCTCTGATTTTAGTTATTTCTTTACTTTTGCTAGCTTTGGGGTTAGCTTTTCTTTTCTTTTCTCTTGTTTTTTTTTCTCTAGATGTGATATTAGGTATTCATTCAAGATCTTTCTCACTTTTTGAGGTAGGCATTTAGAGCTATATCGTTTCCTCTTAACACTGCTTTTGCTGTATTCCAGAGATTTTGGTATGTTTGCCTGTTTTCACTTCTAAGATTTTTTTTTATTTATACCTTAATGTTGTTGTTTACCCAAAAGTCATTCATGTGAAAGTTTTTTCTTTTCCATGTAATTGTGTGGTTTTGAGAGATCTTCCTGGTATTGATTTATATTTTTATTCCCTGTGGTCAAAAAGTACAGTTGGTGTTATTTCAGTTTTTAAAAAATGTATTGATGGCTGGGCACAGTGGCTCACGCCTGTAATCCCAGCACTTTGGGAGGCCAAGGCAGGTGGATAACGAGGTCAGGAGTTCGAGACCAGCCTGACCAACATGGTGAAACCCCGACTCTACTAAAAATACAAAAATTAGCCAGGCATGGTGGTGCGCACCTGTAATCCCAGCTACTCAGGAGGCTGAGGAAGGAGAATCACTTGAACCCGGGAGGCAGAGGTTGCAGTGAGCCGAGATCACGCCACTGCACTCCAGCCTGGGCGACAGAGTGAGACTTTGTCTCAAACAAAAAAAAAATGTGTTGATACTTGCTTCATGGCTGAGCACGTGGTTGATCCTGAAGTATGTTCCATGTGCAGATAAGAAGAATGCATATTCTGCGGTTGATGGGTGGACTATTCTGTGTATGTCTATTCAGTCCAATTGGTCAGCTGTCAAGTTTTAAGTCCAGAATTTCCTTGTTAGTTTTCTGCCTCAGGGATCTATCTAACACTGACAATGGGATGTTGAAGTACCCCACTATTAGGGTGTGGCTAAGTCTTTTTGTAGATCTAAAATTACTTGCTTTATGAATCTGGGTGCTCCAATATTGGGTATATATATATATGCTTAGGATAGTTAAGTCTTCTTGAATTGAACCCTTTATGTAATGCCTACCTTTGTTTTTTTATTCTTGTTGGTTTTAATTTTCTTTTATCAGATACAGAATAGTGACTCTTCCTCTTTTTTATATTTCATTTTCATGTTAGATCTTTCTCAAACCTTTGAGTTTATAAGTGTTGTTATATGTTAGATGGGCCTCTTGAAAACAGTAGATAGAAAGGTCCTATTTTACTATCCATCTTGCCACTCTGTGGCTTTTAAGTGGGGTACTTAGACTGTTTCCATTCAAGGTTAATATTGATATGTGAGGTTTTGATTCTGTTGTGAAGTTGATAACTGGATCTTTTGTAGTTTCTATTGTGTGGTTGCTTTATAGGGTGTCTGGGTTATGTACTTAGGTGTGTTTTTGTGGTAGCAGGTATCATTCTTTCATTTCTTATGAGTAGTGCTTATGTTTAAACTTCTTAAGGATTTCTTGTAAGGCTGGTCTAATAATAACAAATTATCTTAGTGCTGAATTGGAAAAGATTTTATTTCTCTTTACTTATGAAGCATAGTTTGATTGTATATTAAACTCTTAATTGGAACTTCTTTAAGAATGCTAAAAAATAGGTTTCTAATTTCTGCTGGCTTGTAACCTTTCTGCTGAAAAGTCTGTTAACCTGATAGAGTTCCCTTTGTAAATGATCTGACCTTTTTCTCCAGCTGTCTTTAAGATGCAAACTTTTTCTTCAGGTGCCCTTTTCTTTAGCATTGAACCTGGGTAGTCTAGGGACTATATTCCTTGGTGATGCTCATGCTTTATAGTTTCTTGCAGGTGTTCTCTTGATTTCTTGTATCTGGATGTCTGTCTCTCTAGCAAGATTAAGAAAATTTTCTTGAGTTATCCCCTCAAATGTGTTTTACAAATTATTTGCTTTTTCTCCTTCTCTCTGAGTAATGCCAATAACTAATAGGTTTGGTCACTTTACATAATCCCTTATTTCTCAAAGACTTTTTAATTCTTTTTTTTTTTAATTTTTGTGTGACTGGGTTAGTTCAAAAGTCCAGTCTTCAGATTAAAATTCTTTTTTCTGCTTTGTCCAGTCTATTGATAAAGCTTTCAACTGTATTTTCAAATTCCTTAACTGAGTTTTTCAATTCCAGAAACTCTAATTTATTGTTAAGATGTTTATCTTTTGTTTCTTAGATTGCTTTAGAAGCTTATTTGTGTTGATTTTTCAACCTTGTTTTAGATCTCATTAAGCTTCCTTGCAATCTATGCTTTAAATTATTTATCTGTCATTTTTGAGTTTCCATTTTGGTTAGGAACCATTACTGGAGAGCTAGTGCAATCCGTTAGTGGTGTCAGATCATTGAGATTTTTCATAGTGCCAGAATTTTTGCACTGGTTTCTTCCAGCTGAAGATACTGTCACTTCTAATTTTTAAAATTATTTTCATATGGCTAGCAATTTTTTGCATCTCTTTCCCTATGATTTTTGTTTTCACTTTCCTTTTTCCCCTTCCCTAGGGGGTTACAACTGTAGAGAATGTTGGATAAGGTCTTCTGGCTTTGCTTCTGTAGCCCTATGCACTTGTTTCAGCAGGTTTTATATTGAGCTATGCGGTTTTACCTACAAACCCATAGATGGTGGTTATAGGTAAAACCCAGCTGTGGTCAATGTGGATTGTATCTATTTGATCTTTGTTTACTGGCAAAAGCTCTGCTGTCTCAGGTAATTAGCTGATTCATGAAATGCAATCAGCTGAGCTCCCTGATCAGCCCTGGGGGTGTGGGGTCCTCACTGCACATGACCTGTATGCATGGCAGTTATGCATACAGGTCTCCCAGTGTCAGGCACAACACTTACACTGAGGGAGAATCCAGTGGGTGGCCACCAAGTACCCAGAGCCTAGGCATGGATCTCGGGAAACTTCTCAGCCCCAAGTTCTCTGCACAGGGATGGTAGTGGTGGCCTAAACTCCTAATCCAGGAGAGTGGATGCTATGGATGCCTGGACTTCTTCCTGGGTATGAGGCTGAGAGGACTTCCCTGTACTATGAGCTATACCCAGGAAGGTTAGGATGGCTCAGGCTGCTGAACCAGGTGAACAGGTGCCACAAATGCCTGGAGATCTGCCTGCACACAAGGCAGAGGGGGGCCCCCTGCACCACGATCTATGCCCATGAAGGGTAAGTTAACTCAGGCTACTGGACCAGGAAAGTGAGTGCTCCAAATGCCTGGATTTCTGCCTAGGGTTAGAGCAAAGAGGGCCTTACTACACCACAATCTCAGTGGAGCAGGCTGGGCACCTAGCAATGGCATACTCAGTCCAGTGCTAGTTTACCAAGCTGGCTCTAGTTGCAAGTCTTGCCACAAAGGAGAAACTGCAGCTAAAGGAGCTCTTCTCCTACTCCAGGCTTCTTATGTGGTAGAGCACTATTCCAGCATCTACTGATAGTGTTTTCCACAGTTCTGACTGTGAAGGCCCCTACCCTGCTCCAGAGTGGGTGCCCCAATCTCAGGCCTGAGATAAAAATACCTCTGCAGCAATGCTGTTGGACTGCCAAAGAATGGCTTAATATGCACCTGGATTAAAAATGGCATCCCATTCTTGGTCTTGGGTCTGGGAAAATGTCTGCAGTTTTTCCAAGAGCTTTTCCCTCACAGCATCTCCAAGCCTCTCTCCAAGTTGGCTCCAGGGCTTGGGAGAAACAAAGTGCCGTCCCTCTCTCCCAAGCCCTGGAGCTAACTTGGGGAGAGAGAGTCACAGAGAGATGTGCTCTGTCTCCCACACTGGGGCTTCACTCACTTTTATCAGCTGAACATCCTCTTGGGGGCTGTTTGCCAGCATTCTCATCCCCAAGATCTGGGCATTCTCATCCCTGGGATCTGGGATTCCCATTTGCCTTCCTGAATTGTAGCTCACAGAGTTTATCTTCATGGACCACCTTGCTATTTCCAAGCGAGTGAGGCCTACTAAAACCGCTAATCTGCCAGGTTGGCAAAAAAAAACCCCACAATTTTTCTTTACAGAAGAATTACAAGCACACAGATAAGTATTTAACGTCAATCTTTTGGTGGTACATCTGTTATGGGACATATACCCCCAAGAACAACACACACACATGCGCACACACACAATTCTAAATTACATTCATTGGTCTTCTTGTGAGTAGCATGACAATTACTATTATTATTGGACTAATAAAATATATAAATATAAAACTTTAAAGTATTAAAAGAGTAAATTTTCAGAGTAAAAGAGATGCGTATGTAAAATTTTTTAAGTTAAATAAAAACCTAGAAGCTTTGATTTAGAAATGTCAGTATGAATTCATAATTAATTTTTTCTTAAAAATGACCGGTTTTCTAGCTGTGTCCACTGAAAAGGCCTGAAAGAACAATGAATACCCTAAATGCACAAATAATACTCAAATTATGTTCTCCAAATTCCATTTATCCCTAAAAGAAATTAGGACTTTCTTAGAGAAGTGACTGATTTAAGGCTTCAGGTAGGAAATATACCAGATCAGCCTGGGACTTCTTATTGTACCTATAGAGTACCTGTGGTCATGATGAAAGGAAAATTTAAAAGCCTCCCTTGACAATTTGAGCTCGAAAAGCATCATGAATCCAATAAACTGAAGCACATTGACTCTCTAAAACTCCATGCTTTCATACTAATACACACTACACACACACAAATCACTGATTATCTTTGTTGGATGCAGAAATCACCCTTCTGAGAATTGTTATAAAAAGGGATTTCAGATTTTATCCTGGCTTCTCTGTTAGTACTGTTTTCTTACAGTTACAAATACCAAATAACCAGATACTGTCATGAGTCACTTAACAATAGATTCAAAGAAATGCATTGTTAGGTTATTTCATCATGTGCAAGCATCACAGAGTATACTTACATACACCTGGATGGCACAGCCTACTCTACACTTAGGCTATATGATATAGCCTATTGTTTTTATGCAAAAAAAAAAAAAAAAACCTGTAAAGCATGTTACTGAACTGAATACTGTAGGCAATTGTAACACAATAGTAAGTATATGTGTATCTAAACATATCTATACATAGAAAAGATACAGTAAAAATATGGTATAACCTTATGAGACCAATGTCCCAAATGTGGTCTGTCATTGTGGCACTTGACTGTAGTTGATGAAGGATATCTCCACTATATGAAAGAATCACAACTAATAAATGAAAAAGGAATGATCGAATTTAAAAATAGCAAATAACTTAGGCAATCATTATTAGTAGATGTTAAAACCACTAGGTAAAATGCTGATGAAGAATATTTAGTAAAAATATCAGGCAGCCATCATCTGATCCTACTGATTTTAACATCACTGAAAGAGACACACACAAACATTAAGTGCATCCTGATACGGTAGAATCAGGATGAACCCAGCACAACCTCTTTAATTTTTGCTTTAAAAATTTTTATTATAAACCTAATTAAAATTATGACTGATATTTTCCACAAAATGCTGGAGGAAAAAGAACTTTTTAAATAAAACCACAAGGAAGGAATCAAATAAATTCTGAATGTACGGTATTCTGTAGAGCAAAAGGACCAGTTTCTCCCACAAATAAAGGACACACAGATATAAAGTGGGGAATGGAACTGTTATAGCGTTGAAATAGACTAAAGAGCAATAACAGCAAAACACAACATGTAAACCATCTCAGGATCTTGATTCAAACAAATCATCTATAAATGATGACTCTAAGACTATGAGGAAAATGTAAATATGAACTGAATATTAGATGAGGAAGAAGGAATTATAGTAGGAATAATAGGTTTTTAAAAGTCTTCATCAATAGAGGTACCTATTGAAGTACGTACAGGTCAAATGATATGTCTGGAATTTGTCTTAAAATATCCAAAAGAAACAAACAGAATTTAGGGAGTAGAATATATGGAACATGACAAGCAGAATGTTCATAAATGTTGAAGCTCAGTGATGGGTTAATGGACATTTATTATATTATCTACATTGGTATAAACAGAATATTTCCCATAATAAAAACTTGAGGCTGGGCATGGTGGCTCACATCTATAATCCCAACACTTTGGTAGGCAGAGGTGGGAGGATTGCTTGAGCCCAAGGGTGCAAGACCAGCCTGAGCAACATAGGGAGACTGGTCTCTACACAATTTTTTTCTTAATTAGCTAGGTATCGTGGTCCATCCCTGTAGTCCCAGCTACTCAGGAGACTGAAACAGGAGGATTGCTTTGAGCCTAGGAGGTTGAGGCTGCAGTGAGCTATGATTGTGAACACGACTGCATTCCAGCCTGGGAAATCGAGTGAGACCATGTCCGAGGAAAAAACAAACAAACAACAACAAAAAAAAATTTTTAAAGACCTGAGATTTAGATTCCTTGGCAGAAAAAGATATCCACAAAATATCACTAAAAACCTTTTAACAGAGAACACAGATATATCTCCATGTCTTGGTTTTTAGCATCTATAATGAAATACTAGAACATTGTCTCTTAAGATTACTTTTTATGAAAAGGAGAAACTTAGACCAAATGAAATCTATATTTTCCATGCTTTTAATAAAAGAAACTTTTGTTCTCAGAAAAATATTATAATATGCCCCCTTGATATTTTCTACTTTGTTTCCCAGTGTTTTGTAATAGTAATACCGGTTGTATCTTTATAAAATATATAGTTAATGATTCATAACTATGCAAGAATAAATGTTTTACATGGCACTACATTAGATGAATCCAAATAAAATTTACTAAACAGCTGGTTGCTCCCACCATGTAAAATCAAGTTGCAATTTCAATAAGTAAATAAATTATTGTTTACATTACCATTGCCTCTTGACCTCAATGTCAGAGTATATAGTAAAAGAAGTTAGCAACTTAACTTTTGTTAACATGTGACTTAGCTATAACATAACATTTGCAAATATTCTGAGCTGGCCAATTTCTTATCTTTTTAATCTATTTTCTAAATTTGAATTAAACCCATGTCAGTTATCAGAAAACTCCTACATCTTGACAAACATCTGGATTCTCTCATCAGTGATCTCTGTGGCATGTTACTATTAACCTCCAACAGGAACCAATAACTTTTTTTATTTTTTGAGATAGAGTCTTACTCTGTTGCCCAGGCTGTAGCGCAATGGCTTGATCTCAGCTGACTGCACCCTCCGCCTCCTGGGTTCAAGCAATTCTCCCACCTCAGCCTCCCAAGTAGCTGGGAATACAGGCAAGCGCCACCACACCCAGCTAATTTTTGTATTTTTAGTACAGACGAGGTTTTACCATGTTGGCCAGGCTGGTCTTGAACTCCTGACCTCAGGTGATCCACCAGCCTTGGCCTCCCCAAGTGCTGGGATTACAGGCGTGAGCCACCTCACCCAGCCTAGTAACTAGTAACTCTTTAAGAGAACATCGCCACAGTGCTTTAGAAACATTTAAACGCTAAATATTACATCTGTGGCAGAAACCAGCCCACTTAACCTGTGTCCTCCTCTCCCTGGGAATACAGCTAAACCATATTTCACAGCCTTTCTTGAAACTTAGCTGAGAACAAATAACTGAGTTCTAGCTAATGAAATATGATGGAAGTTATGTGCACACTTTAGCAGTATCCTAACTAATATAACCTAGGATTTACCTATTGAGTAATATCCGTTTTCTGGAAGATGGGTTTTTTTTCTTCAGATTATCCTAAAAACAAAAGGAAAAAATTTGAAGAAATAACTCTGGGTATTTAATATTATATTTTTAAATTATCATGAGTTATCAAACACATCTTATGTATATCTCCAGACTCACTTGGTCTTCCTGCCTCCCAGACGCAGAGATGCTTATTCCACCTCTAGCTGCCACCAAACTAACGCCCTTCAGGTACACTCAATTCCACTGCCTGGGACCAACCAATACCTAATTCACTAGGTGATTCTTTTTGGCTGACATTCTCAAAGCTAAGTCAACCAGGCACATGTATAGGGTTCTGGGCTGTCTCACAACTTCTGTACTCAGTTAAAATGTTTGTACCCAGTTAAAATGCAGAGCATGGAATCTATCTGCCCGACTAGCTCCTGTCAGTATTAGATGATGCAGAACAGGTGTGCACAAGGGGATGAACTTGCTCAGGGTGTGAACTTCCACCAGTAAGAAATAAGAGACAAATGGAGGCACACAGATAAATTTGCTCCCCTCTTTTATCCAAAGCATGGTTTCTTCATACAGCCAATCTGGAAATGTCCCATATGGCTATGCAGATGCAGATGTATTTGGCAAGAATATAGTTCCATCAAAGCTTAGCATAAAGCAATGAAAACTGAGTACATATCATCTTACCTTGCCTCCTATTCTTTCCTCTCTCACTTCCTTTTTCTCTTACTCATGATGCCAAGCGATTGAACCAAAATCGGTTTGCTAGAGAAACTGGCCTCAAACAGTCCCTGACCTTACTAACCATTAAAGGTCAGTAAGCCTCCTTGGAGAAGTAGGACATAAGGCAACATCACCTCGTAGTGCCAGCAAGCAAGAAAGTTGAAAAGACAAATGGGGTCATGACACAAGATCAATCTTGAAAATGTTCCCAGTGGAATTTGAAAGATACATAAAATATTGGAAAACCCTCATTTTGCAATGCCTAATGAAATATTCATTGGGGTTGTATTTATCAGTGGATGCTAAAACAGTTACAAGAATAGTTGATGAGGAATCTGACATTGGATTTTCATCACCTGATCCTAATTAATTTTAGCATCACTAAAAGTGGGACAATCACACATTGTCAATCACCTGATGTAATACAATATGAAGCATATAATACCACCACAAAGAATTCCTGATCCAACAAAACCCCTGAATCCTGAATTTCATCAACTTCTATGTCTATCAGTTGCAGAAAACATAAATTTGAAAATGTGTTATATGAGATCATGAATTGGTCAAATATGTGATTGGAGATATTCTTCAGGATATAGTTTATTTTGCATGTCAATAATATGAGAGGAAATAGACTAGAAGATTAGTGGAGGCGCCTATTCAAAGGAAATAAAAAATATAAAATGCAAAGGCCTGTTTGAATTCTGCTTTAAATAAATCATTCATAATAAACAATACCTTTTAATGACCAGGGAAAATTATATATAAAGTAGATAGAAAATGATATACTAATTTTGTTAGGTGTGATAAGATACTGTAATTGTTTTAGATAGAAAATTTTTAGAGAAAGACATGAAATAACGTAACAGGAATTTACTTTAAAACATTGCAGAGGAAAAGCAAGGAAGGAAAGAAAAGAGGGATGGAGGGAAGGAGTGCGAACAGGGGGAAGGAAGAAAAGAGAAAAATTATGAAAGGGATAGACAAAGCAAGCATGGCAAAATGTTGATAATTGTTCAATCAAGGAGATAGGTCCATGGAGGTTTCTCATACTATTTTCTCCAATTTTACTTGTTTGAAAATGTTCGCAATGAAAGCCTGTAAAATAATTTTCAGAATACAAGAAAAGGGAAGAAGCAAAATGGTCCTTGCATACACACTTTGAAGGAAGAAAATCAATGTTACTTGAGGCAAAGTTTTGAATTTAAAATAAAAATCTAATGTATGTGAACATTTATACTGACTTCCATATGATTTTTATTGGTGATCTATTATCAGAAACAGTCTTTGCAAATTTACTTAAATATGTAAAATACCAACCTAAAAATTTAAAAAATTTAAGGTCAGAGTTTTGTTTCATATTATTTTTTGATATATCATAGTTGTACATATTTTTGGAGTACATGTACTATTTTGATACATGTATCCTAATGATCAAATTATACATTGTATAATTTGGGTTAATTGGGATATCCATCATTTTAAACATCAATTTTTTCTTTGTGTTGGAAACATTACAAGCCTATTCTTTTAGCCATTTTGAAATATATATGTATATAAATTATTCTTAACTATAATTTATCTGCTGTACTATCAAACACTAGATCCATTCCTTCTATTGTACTGTATTTTGTACTCATTAACCAACTTTTCTTCATCCTCCCACGGCGTCTCCTTCTCACCCTCTGGTAAACACCATTCTATCCCCCACCTCCATGAGATCCATTTTTTTAGCTCTCACATGTGAGTGAGAACATGTGATGTTTTTCTTTCTGTGCCTCACTAAATATTATTTAATGTGAAATTCTAAAATCAAAATTCTAATTTAAATAAAATTTTTGCAAATAATTATACTCTTCTGCTATCTGTTACAGATAATTTATTTACCCAATAGCTATTTGAAAATTTTAATTTCAAAACTACTAAAAATGCCCTTCTCTTTATACACTCTCTTTTCTCAATTTCTACAACTCTTTTTTTCCATATTGTTCTCTACCCGCTCTCATGGGTCATGTCCTTCCCATCCGTGTTTATGGGCTCTACTTTCTCTGTCCCTGGATGCAATGTTCCCCAGAGTTTCTTTTTTATACACCCTCCTGTATCACTTAACCACTTTCCTTGAGGGATGTCATTTCCTGTCAAGGCTTCAATCACCTTGAATGCTATTGATTCCCAAATCTACATTTCCAACCTTGACCTCTCTCTCTTGAGCTCCAGGGCAGTATACATTAAATGCTTCTAGGCCATCCAGGGTTGGATGTCTTAATAGTTCAGCAGGTGAAAAAATACCCAAAATTGAACTTATCATCTTCTCTAGCCTCCTCATCTTTTATAATTCCTGAATTTTATAAGTGGCTATTTAAAATAGTAACTTGGGAGTCATCATAGTCCACATACAATAGCATCATCATACTGTTTTAATTTTTCCTCTTTAATAAGTTTTAAATTTGTCACCATCCCTAGTTGAGCTCTTGTTATTTCTCAACCATCTTTTGACTGGACTTTTCTCCACCTTCAACCCACTCCAGCTTCTTAGTGAAACCTGCCATCAAATTTGTATTTTTGCTAAGGCAGACCTAGACATGACACTTTCCTGGTTAAAATTATTTGGAGACTCCTTCTCACTTTCAGAATGAAGTCCACATGCCTTAGTATTTTGTACAAAGTCTTTCATGATCTGATACTCTATTTTTTCCAACCACATTGTTCACAATTTCAGCCATCCTAAACTTCTATGTTTTCCCTTCTTCCTAGACTGCCTTTCTGTCATTTTACAGAGCTGGCTAGCTCCAAGACTCAATTCTTTAAAGTACTCTGACCCTCTTCATCCTCTTTCATCTGCTGCATCCCCAAATAAAGATAAGAGTTCTGCTGTATGTGCTATCTTAATAAACCATGTTATTCCCTTTATTGAATTTTATTAAAGTTATTTATATGCATCTGTCTCATTCACAATAAACTTTTAAAGGGCAAGAACCACAATCTCTATATCCCAGCACCTAATACACTACCTAATATGTAAAAGGCACTCAATAAGTATTTATCAAATGAATGAATACATAGATTAATGTATCATATAAATTTAAAGCTATTTCTCAAATCAATTTTAACTACCCTCATTGCCATTTGTAAAATTGTTTGGAAGGCACTGCTTTTTATGTGATATATTTTCTAAACTCACAGCAAGTTTAGAAATCAGATCACATTGCCATTTGATTATTGGATTATAAAATTTCTGAAATACTATAGATGGCAAGAAAAATGACAGAAATTTCACAGAAACAAACAATAGTGAAAACAGAAAATTGAGAATTCTGTTAACTCACATAGTGATTTTGTACTTTCTTTTTCCTTAACCAAGGAGGGAAATAAAACTATCTACTTTAGAATGAAGAGTGATTGAGTATGAAGCACATAAAGTGGTTCAAGGAAAAAGAATGGGAGAAAAAAAAAAAGCCAGATTAATATAAAGAAAAATGCCAAGGAAAAAAATATTCATTTAATCTTTACTTAAACTGGAAGGGAAAAAAAAGGCAAAAACAGGTCAAAGGATTCTTAGTTTCAAAGTCTTTCAAACAATAGGAAGACAATCAAAATGCATCAATGCAACTGAAAAATTCTTTAAACCACTTGTGTATTTATTGACCTTACAGAAAAGCAAGGCTCAAATAAGAACATAGGGAAGATGCATACCTCTTAGATTCACAGATATCTATAATTTTATTTACTATTAGAGGATAAATGTCAGCTCTTGCAGCACACAAGCAGATAACTGTTACTTATCACTTACCACCTTCTACCATTCATAGCCACTATTTCAAGCTTTCCTAAATCCTCCTGTCCCTGTAATCTCAGCAGCTGGCAAACTCAAGAAAGCAGAAAATCAAGGCCTCCTGGTATCAATACTCTTAACTCCCTTCCTTTTATCTCCAAATCGAAATGAAAATGCCTCCTACATGTCAGGCACTATTCTAGATCCTGGGGACACTGCAAGAACATGGCAGATAAGGTACCTACATTTATGGCATTTATTTTTGATAGGAAACAGACAATAAAATAAGCACAATTATCTTAGACAGTGGTACACCCTATGAGGACAATTAAATAGCAATGCAGAAGAAAATAATTTAGGGAAAGGATTACTTAGAAACAATTTTTAAGAGATTGCTAAGATGACATTTGCTTTGAGGCCTGAATGCTGAAAAGATAGATATGCAATGATTGCAGGGAAGCGTTTTTTTAGGCAGAAGAAGAAACTAGTGCAAAGGTCTAGGCAAAAAAGAGCCTGATTTACTCAAGGAGGAGAGAGTATATCTGGAATGGAATAAGGGATTTGTGAGAGTGGTAGAAGAAGCCAGAGAGTTAAACAGAGGTTAAGCAAAATGGGTCTCGAAAGCCATGGTAAGAAGTTTGAATTTTACTGCCAGTGAAATCGGAAGTTCATCACTAGAACATTTTAAGAAGTTAAGTTGCATGAGCTGCTGATTTGCAGCCATGCTTATCTCAGAAGAAGATGTCTCTGCTGCTCTGATGATGTTATATCATCCCGGCCTCTTCTAGGACCTAGATGTATCAGTTATCCCCTCTCTCTTCTATAATTTCAAACATCTCCTTCTCACTGGCTCCTTTCAAAGGCATCGTGTTAGATGGAGGAAAAGAAAGACTTTGAAATCATTTATCTCTGGGCTTGACTTGATTCTACCTCTTAACATAGCAAGCAAATTGACTACGGTCATAAGTCTTGGTTTTCTCATTTGATGTGGGAAATATAATACCCACCTTCAGAGAATTACTATGAGGGCTAGATATTTTTACACAAGTAAAAGCCCTGATATATATTAGTTACCTATCTTTTCCCTCAATTTCCTAACATCTATTTCAAAATACAACAACAAAACTCATCTCTTCTACTTCTAGCTATTACCATATCTTCTCATCTATCTATAGCAAAATTTCCTAAAGAATAATCCACATTCATGCTCTATGCTTCATCACCTTCCATTCATGTTCCAAGCTCTTAAATCAGGCTTTTACTCCCATTGAAGTTGCTTTGAAAAGGATCATCAATGACCATGTGCCAGTATGGGTCCTCCAATAACCAGACATCAATGTAGTATTAATTGTATGAAAAATGTATTGGGAGAAATGCTTGTGATGGATGACGGTAGGAAGCAGGAGTAGGTAGGAAGAGTTTTCAGACTACCATGTGAATCCTATACTTGAGAAAGGAAAGGGCCAGTTCAGGAAACAGAAAGGATACCTATGTGGCTGACTGAGGTGGAGGGAGTGAGTGAGCATCAGGAGAGCAGCAAGATCAGTGCACCAGGAACTTTAGATTTTATTCTAACTGTGATAACAAGCCTCAGAGAGGTTGGGGGGGAGAGGCAGAGAGGGAGAGAGGGAGAGGTCGAGAGGGGGAGAGGAGGAGAGGAGGATGGGGGAGAGGGGGAGAGGGGGAGCGGGGGAGCTCGGAAGAAGGGGAGAGAGATAGAGAGAGGGAGGAGAGAAAAGAGAGAGACTGGTATCTTGAATAAATACAATCTTTTGGATTTAATCATTAAGTCGCCTTATATTTACTTTCTACTTTGTTTAGGGTTATTCAGTAGAGAAACTTGTTCATCTACTTTTTTATCAACTTGATGAAGACAAAGTATTCCCATAATTTTCTGATTAATCATGGTAAAAATAAGTCTTATGGTCACCTTTACGTCACAAAACCATTGTCTCATTTCAATAATTCAAATGGTCAAAACATAGAGTAATAAAACTTCCAATTTGATTTAAAGTTAAAAATACTTCATCTACATTTAGGGCCTTCTGTAAATGAAAAGTCTATGATCCAAGAAGTCCCTTTCCCATTTCTTATAACCTAAGCTTGTGAATCTATCAGGTTCAAAGAGGTAAGATCAGGAAGAAAAAATGAGGAGCGCAAGAAAACTTCTTACTTAACTAGCACTAATGTAAGATGACTTCTTGCTCTCTGAGTTTAGCAGATATTTAAAGCTAATTCTTTGTCTCATTAATACTTCCATGGCTTCTTCCAAGAGCTCACTGGTTATATTTGATTCCAATTTCTACATCATGAGATATATTTTTCTATGGCTAGTCATTTTCCCTTCAGTCCCACTATTACTCAAGACAATGCTACTGGGCAGGATTTAAAACAGCTCAAGGACAGCTCTGTGTCCTACATGGCCCACATCTGGACCATGTAAAACATATGCAAATCCTTTACCTACTGAATTCTGCATGCATAGTCCAAATCCAACATAGTGAGCTTAACTCCAGCATCAGCAACTAGGATGCCCAACTCCAGACGTTTAAACTTCCTAGGTAGAAATATAAATAATCTACCCTGTCACACATTCTGCAGACATCACATGTTAAGATCTCTAAATAATCTCAATGAAGGACTTTTATCAAATAATTGGGGGTAGGGAACTCATAGCCAGGTTGTCTCCTGAGAATTCCTCTTCAGAAATCCTCTTTGTGAGTATTCCTCTGTCTTGATTAACTTTTTACATTCTTGATGTGGGTAAAATATTCTAGAATCATGTAGCTAGTTTTGGTTATCTGCATTTGAAATTCCATAAAGGTGCTCTGTTTTCCAATTCCCTTTGCTATATGATGGTTTTTGTCTAAAAGTATCAGCCAAATAATATTTTAAACACCCTGTTAGGAGTGAAATGGTCAGAGTTATGCTTTTAATGAATTACTTCGGAGACTCTGAAAAGTAGATTGTAGAGGATGGATGCAAATGTGGAAGCACGAAAAAGGCTATTAGAGTAGCCCAAATGAGAAATAATGGGGATATATACTAGAGCTGTGAAAATAAATTACATGTCAGATAGATGGAAAGATAAACCATGCTCATAGATTAAATTAGTATTGTTAAAATGTTCATACTACCCAAAGTGACCTATAGATTCAGTGTAATCTCTATCAAAATTCCAAAGACATTTTTCACAGGCATAGAAAAATCAATCCTAAAATTCATATGGAACTACAAAAGACCGCAAATAGCCAAAGCAATCTCAAGGAAAAAGAATAAACTGGAGGCATCACACTATCTGTCTTCAAAATTTACTGCAAGTCAAGAAAGCATGCTATTGATCTAAAAACAGACACATAGATCAATGAAACAGAATAAAGAGCCCAGAAATAAATCCATATATTTACAATCAATTGATTTTTGACAAAGGAGCCAAGAACACACAAGGGGGAAAAAATAGTCTCTTCAATAAATGGTGCTGGATAAACTGAATATCCACATGCAGAAGAATGAAATTATACCTTATCTCCCACCATATAAAAGAAATCAATCCAAACTGGATTAAAGATGTAAACATAAGACCTAAAACTGTAAAACTACTAGAAGAAAACATAAGAGAAAAGTTCCATGACCTTGGTCTGGGCAATGAGTTTATGGATATGACCACAAAAACACAGGCAATGAAAGAAAAAAATGGGATTACATCAAACTAAAAAGCTTTTGCACAGCAAAGGAAACAATCAGAAGAATGAACAGACATCCTACAAAATGGGAGAAAATATTTGCAAACTATAAATCTGATAAGGGATTAACATTCAAAATATATAAGGAACCCCAGCAACTCAATAGCAAGAAAACAAATTAGCTGATTAAAAAATGAGCAAAGGACCTGAATGAACATATCTTAAAAGTAGAGATACAAATGCCTAATAGGTATATGAAAAAATGCTCAACCTCACTAATTATCAGGGAAACAAAAATCAAAAACTCAACGAGGTACCACCTCACACCTGCTAGAATGACTATTATCAAAAAGTCAAAAGATAACACGCGTCAGTGAGATGAGGAGAAATGAGAATCCTTGTACACTGTTGGTGAAAATGTAGATTGGTACGACTATTATAGAAACAGTACGGAGGTTCCTCCAAAATATAAAAATAGAATTACTATATGATCCAGCAATCCCACTTCTAGATATATATTCAAAGGAAACAAAATTAATATGCCAAAGAGGTAGCTGCACTTTCATGTTTCTTCACATGCAGCATTATTCACAATAGCCAAGAAATTGAATCAACCTAAGCTTTCATCAACAAATGAATGGATAAAGAAAATGTGTATAAACACAATGGAACACTACTCGGTCTTTAAAAAAAAGAATATCCTTTTATTTGTGACAACATGTATGAACCTAAAGGACATTATGTTGTTAAACCACATACATAAGAACATATACTGCATAGTTTCACTTATATGTAGAATTTCAAAATGCTGAACTCATAGGAGCAGAGAATAGAATGGTAGTTATCAAATGCTGGAGTCAGGACTGGTAGAGGGATTGAGGATATGTTGGTCATATAATATGAAATTCCAGTTAGACAGGAGGAATAAGTTCAAGAGATGTATTGTATACCATTTGGACTACAGTTAATAACAATATGTTACATACTTAAAAATTACTAAGTATATTTGTTTTCAACACAGAAAATGATAAGTATGAAGGGTTACATATGTTAAGTGACTTGGGTGAGCCATTTCACAATGCATATATATAAACATTATGGTGTACACCATTAATATATTCAATTTTATTTTTTAATTAAAATAAATATTTTTAAATAAATATTTTAAGAAGACATTACATGCTAGATATAGCCTCAAGATAGAACAAAATATGCTCATAAAGTATATTAAAAGTGTGAGGAAAAGAGATGAACCAGGAACAGTTTCCAGATTTTTATTCTATTAAATACGTGAAAGGTACGCCCTTCACTAGATAAAGACAGAGGAAGTCAAGAGTTTAGAAAGGGAAAGAATCAAGACTTCAATTTTAGACATGTTAAATTTGAAATCACTATTAGATAACCAAGTAGGAATGTCAAAGGTGCAGTTGGATATTAAAGACTAAGGCTCAAGAGAGTTCTATACATCATTGCCAAATATATTTGTAGATCATTAACATAGGAGATATTAAAAACTACTAGACTAGATGAGATTGCCATGGAATTGTAGTAGCATAGCTAGAGGAGAAAACAGAGCAAAAGTTTTGATGGCCTTCCTGCCCTTCAAAATCCAGATGTTAGAAAGATGAGGAGGAACCAGCAAATTAAGATGGAAGGAATGGTCACCTGGGGCCCCGTATAGTGACACACACTTGTATTCCCAGTTTCTTGGGATGCTTAGGTGGGAGGATCATTGGAGCCCACGAGTTTACATTCAGCCTTGGGCAAAATAGAGAGATGCTATCTCTTTAAAAAATAAAAATTTTAAAGGGAGGTGGTTTCAGTTATCTAGAAACAGAAAGAAGACAATATATAATTTTGCTTCACTATCTTCATTCTTCTCTTTGCTCTACAAAAACAACAACTAATGAACAAAGTTGTTTATTTTCAAGGATAAGTTACCAGAGTCAAGCCTTGATGTGCTTCCCCACGTAACTCTAACAGTGCTTTCAAAAGAAGTACTTTCCTTTTGACTTTGCCTATTTAATGAATACATCCAATCAAGCCACCCTATTAGTGAAAATGGAAAAGAGACATTTTTGAGATGATAAATAACTGTAGAGAGAATCTGCAAAGCTTACCACTATAGAATCTCTTTTATATTCAACCTCACAACCAGATTTGTTCAATAGATAGATGAACAGATTTTTTTTTGTCTTAATGACAAGTTTCCAGCTCAAACTCTAAGGAGAAAATCCATCACACTGGAATCCTGTTACCTCTCAGCTTAATCCATGGAATTACATTCATGAGAAATTAAGTATCTATCATTCAAAGTACCTCCATTTGCTGGGAAACTGAGGTGGGAAACACCTGCATATGTCATAAGCACACATTTCTTGTGTGAAGTGCCTTTGATTTACTTGAAGTGTTTTTTGAATATGAATGTTGGACAAATAGCAGCTGAATAATCTTCTATATGTTCAAGTCAATAAAGGAACATACTGAATTATGAATTCATTATATAATCAGAGGGTCAAACACAGTTCTCTGGGGTAGAAATGAAATCATAACCTAATGCCTTTGTAGGCTCTTAATACAAGCATTCCCCTAAATCCTACTAGAATAAAAACCCTATTATTCATATATATGAGTACTGAGGCACTGGATTGCTGTATGACTAGGGAAATTTGCCAGATAAACCCCTAATTATGTCAATCCCTAGTTCAAATTTTGACTTCTCTGTGAACATTTATTTAGTTTCCCCACTCGTGCTCTCTCCCTTCTCTGCTTGCACAGATTCATATTATTTTGATAGCACCTATTCTCATTTTCCTGTATTCATCCACTTATAAATCTACTGCTCACAAATCTGGAAACTTAATCATTATTCCCAGAACATGGATTAGTTCTACAACATAACAGTTCTCCCTAATTGTCTCTGGAATCAGTCTCCCTAATGGTCTCTGGCCATGTGATGAGCTGGAAGGAATCATGCTAAACAGGTAACATTTAGTCCTCAGCCCCTAGTTCAGTCTTCAGCTTATCTTGCTGATGGTCCCACTGAAGAAGCATATGAGCTTCTGCCATGCTGACTGTGGTGGATGTCCAGCACTGTTACAATTTGGTATACACCCCGCACCCCCACGCCTATCCCAACTGCAGTGAATGTTGGCTGAGAACAATTCATAGCTAGTTCTTTCTCCAGGGACATAACACCTCCCTGCTCAATGCAGACCTGATTTCCTATCAAGGGCAAAGGAGAAACAAGGGGACACACAGGCTAGCCCTCTTTTTTTTTTTTTTTTTTTTTTTGAGATGGAGTCTCCTGCTGTTGCCCAGGCTGGAGTGCAGTGGCGAGATCTTGGCTCACTGCAACCTCTGCCTCCTGGGTTCAAGTGATTCTCCTGTCTCAGCCTCCTGAGTAGCTGGGATTACAGGCGCATGCCACCATACCCAGCTAATTTTTGTATTTTTAGTAAAGATGGGGTTTCACCATGTTGGTCAGGCTGGTCTCAAACTCCTGACCTTGTGATCTGCCTGCTTCGGCTTCCTCAAGTGCTGGGATTACAGGCGTGAGCCGCTGCGCCTGGCCTAGGTCTCTTATCTCAATCTCTTACAACATGGGACCTCCCTAGACCTACACTGTTCAATATGGTAGACTTTAACCAGATGTGGCAATTTAAAGTTAATTTTAAATAAATTAACCTGATATAAAATTGAAAATTCAAGTGGACTAGTTGTATTTCGCTTGCTCATTTGGTGGCTACCATAACAAACCTTGCAGGTAGAAGACATTTCCTTCATCCTAGAAAGTTCAATAAGACAGCACTGCTATAAAGCATGTAAACTTTGCAAGGTAAAAGAATGTTCTTCTTTGAGAGTGATTTATAAGTAGAGTAGCTAAAGGCATTTATCTACAACAGGATGTGTGGTCCTTAATTTTATTGCCTTTTCATTCCTCACAGGCTGATATTTAAATGAAGCAATCCTTGCAGAACTTTGATCGTGTTGAATATGACAAGAAGTGTTAGTCTACATAGTTAGCATCATTAATGAGAATATCACTTACAAGATCTCTATCGTCATTAAAAGCATTTACATAATACTGGGTCCGCTAATTTCCATTAGGATTTTTCCTAATTATAGTAAGGTGGTCCTTCAGCTATAATTTAAATATAGTGACAATGCACAGGCCAGCTTAGATCATTTTTCATTTATTTTCTAATATACTATTAATCCTTTTACCATTTAATACTTTCTACCATTAATTCTGAATCCTGCCAGCAACTCCCTATATACAGTCTGTGGTACTTAGGCCATTTGCAGATGATCACATTCCTTTCATGTGAATGATCTTATCTCTGATAGTTTCAAGAACGAAATCTCCCTTTAGTGTTTCTTTTTCATTTACTCACACTATATGGAAAATCTGATACTCGGAAATGTCCAGGTACTCACATTAGGACTGATCAGAGAAACAACTTGACACATGGAGAATGAAGAAAAGCAGGACAGGGCGACAGCTCGCCCAAGAGTGACACAGGGCCAAGGGAAACCCCACCCCCAGCCAAGGGAAGCGGTAAATGAATGTGTGGCCCTGGGAAACTACACATCTCCCTGGAATCTTTGCAATCCTTGGAACAGGAGATCCCTTTGTGAGCCCACTCCACCAGGGTTTTGGGACTGGCACACAGAGCGGTGTGGAATCTCAGTAGAGCAGCTGCTGACACACACAGAGACCCAGGAACTTTATATACTCCAACCCCAGTGTTCCCTGACAAAGGTGACTGCAACTCAGGCAAGGCCAGAGGTCTGTACCGAACCCTAGGAAGGGGGCTGAATACAGGCATCTGAGCTGTGTTGGTCTGCAGGCCCCACTTATGTGGCAGCTCACAAGACCCACTGACTTGGAATTCCAGCCAGCCACCAGTAACAGGGCAGAACCTGTCTGGGACAGGACGGAACCCTCCGGGGGAGGAGTGGGCCACCATCTTTGCTGTTTAGATGACTCAGTCATTCCAACCTGCAGCCTTTAGAGAGTCCAAATGGTCCAGATGAGGAAGGGACCTCCCAGTGCAGCATAACTGTTTTACCAAAATGTGGCCAGACTGCTTCTTTAAGCAGGACCCCGATGCATTTCTCCTCACTGGGCAGGACATCCCAGCCAGGACCTACAGCAAACCTTGCCTGTATTCTACAGACAGCACTCTGATCTCTCCCTGGGAGGGAGTGTCCAGGGAGAGGGATGGGCCTCCACCTTTGCTATTTGGATGACTTGGCCATTCCAGCCTGCAGGCTTTGGAGAGTCCAAGCAGACCAGGGCAGAAGCAGTTCCCCAGCATGGCGCGACTGCTTTGTCAAGGTGTGGCCAGACTGCTTCTTTAAGTGGGACCCCGATTCATTCCTCCTCAATAGGTGGGTCCTCCCAGCCAGGGCCTCTGGCCACCCCTGCCCATGTTCTACCCCAGAAGAGTTCTACTTCTCCCTGGAATGAAGTGCCTGGGGGGGCGGGGCGGGCTGCCACCTTTGCGGTTTGGGCATCTCAGCTGGTTCAGACTATGGGCCTTGGAAAGCCAAAGCTGATCAGGGGCTGAAGGGACACCCAACACAGCACAGCTGCTCTAATGAAATTCAGCCAGACTGCCTCTTTAAGCAAATCTCTGATCCCATTCCTCCTGACTGGGTGAGACTTCACAACTGGGGTCCCCCGCCACCTCCTACAGGTGTGTTAAAGTCAGCAATAAGTCTGTACACCCTGGGATGGAACTTCTAGAGAAAGGGGGAGGCTATTATCTTTGCTGTTTCACAGCCTTCACTAGTGATACCTCCAGGTATTAGAAAAACTGAGGTGTCTAGGGTCTGGAGCAGACCGCCAGAAAACTGCATCAGGCCTAAGGAAGAGTGGCCTGACTTATAAAAGAAAAACAAACAAACAAAACACACACACACACACACACACACCCAGCTGAAGGACAGCAACCTCAAAGATCAAAGGTAGATAAGCCCACAAAGATGAGAAAGAATCAGATCAAAAATAATGAAAACTCAAAAACCCAGAGTGCCCCCTTTCATCCAAATGACTGCAACACTTCTCCAGCAAGGATTCACAACTGGCTGAGGCTGAGATTGCTGAAATGACAGAGGTAGTCTTCAGAATGTGGATAAAAAACAAACTTTGCTGAGCTAAAGGAGCACATGGCAACCCAATGCAAGGAAGCTAAGAGTCATGATAAAACAACGCAGGAGCTGACAGCCAAAATAGCCAGTATAGAGAGGAATATAACCAACCTGATAGAGCTAAAAAAACACTAAAATAAATTCACAATGCAATCACAAGTATCACTAGCAGAATATACCAAGCAGAGGAGAGAATCTCAGAGTTTAAAGACTGCCTTTGTGAAATAAGACAGGCAGACAAAAAAAGAGGAAAAAGAATGAAAATGAATGAATGAGACCTCTGAGAAATAAGGGATTATGAAAAGATATGAAATCTACAACTAATTGGGGGTACTGGAAAGAGAAGGGGAGAATGGAACAAATTTGGAAAACATATTTCAGCATATCATCCAGGAGAACTTCCTCAACCTAGCCAGAGAAACCAAAATTCAAATTCATAAAATGCAAAGAACCCCCAGAAAGATACTCCATGAGAATATCATCCCCAAGAAGCATAATAATCCAATTCTGCAAGGTCAAAATGTAAGAAAAAATGTTAAGAGCAGCCAGAAAGAAAATCCAGGTCACCTGCAAAGGGAAGCCCATCTGACCAACAGTGGACCTTTCAGCTGAAACCCTACAAGCCAGCAGAGATTGGAGGCCAATATTCAACATTCTTCTAGAAAAGAAATTCCAACCCAGAATTTTATGTCCAGCCAAACTAAACTTCATAAACAATACTAAACTTAAATGTAAATGGGATAAATGCCCCAATTAAGACACAGAATGGCAAGCTGGATAGAGTCAAGACTCATCGGTATGCTGTCTTCATGAGGCCCATCTCACATGCAAAGACACACACAGGCTCAAAATAAAGGAATGAAGTAAAATTGACCAAGCAAATGGAAAACAGAAAACAGCAGGGGTTGTAACTTCAGTTTCTGAAAAAACTTTAAACCAACAAAGATCAAGAAAGACAAAGAAGGGCCTTACATAAAGGTAAAGAGTTCAACAAGAACAGCTAACTATTCTAAATATATGTACACCAAATACAGGAATACTTATATTCATAAAGCAAGTTCTCAGACACCTTCAGAGACACTTAGACTCCCACACAATAGTGGAAGGCTTTAACACTCCACTGACGATATTAGATCATTGAGACAGAAAATTAACAAAGATATTCAGGACCCAAACTCACCTCTGGATCAAGTGGACCTGACAGATATCTACAGAACTCTCCACCCAAAAACAACAGAATATATATTCTTCTCATCACAACACAGCACTAACTCTAAAATTGATCACATAATTGGAAGTAAAACACTCCTCAGCAAATGCAAAAGAACTGAAATCATAACAAATTCTCAGACCATAGCACAATCAAATTAGAAACCAAAATTAAGAAATGCACTCAAAACCGTACAACTACATGGAAACTGAATGACCTGCTCTTAAATGACTTTTGGGTAAATAATGAAATTCAAGCAGAAATCAAGAAGTTCTTTGAAATTAATGAGAACAAAGATGCAGTGTACCAGAATCTCTGGGATGCATCTAAAGCAGTTCTATTAGGCTGTTTTCACACCACCATAAAGATACTACCCAAGACTGGGTAATTTATAAACAAAGGAGGTTTAATTGACTCACAGTTCCACCTGGATGGGGGAGTTCTCAGGAAACTTACTATTATGCTGAAAGGTGAAGCAGGCATCTTTTTCACAGGTGGCAGAAGAGAAGAGAAGTGTGTAGAAAGAACAATGAAACACTTGTTAAACCATCAGATTTTGTGAGAACTCACTCACTGATATGGTTGGGCTGTGTCCCCACCCAAATCTCATGTTGAATCGTAACTCCCACAATTCCCCATGTTGTGAGAGGGTCCCAGTGGGAGACAATTGAATCATGGGGGGGCGGGTCTTTCCATTGCTGTTCTTGTGATAGTGAGTAAGTCTCACAACATCTGATGATTTTATAAAGGGGAGTTTCCCTGCACAAGTTCTCCTCTTGTCTGCCACCATGTGAGATGTGCCTTTCACCTTCCACCATGATTGTGAGGCCTCCCCTGCCACATGGAACTGTGACTCCATTAATCCTGTTTTTCCCTATAAATTACCCAGTCTTGAGTATGTCTTTATTAGCAGTGTGAAAATGGACTAACATACTCACTATCACAAGAATAGCATGGATGAAACTGCCCCCGTAATCCAATGACCTCCCACTGAGTTCCTCCCTCAACATGTGGGGATTATAAGGATTACAATTTGAGATGAGATTTAGGAGGGAACACAGAGCCAAACCATATCAGCAGTGTTCAGAGGGAAATTTATAGCACTAAGTGCCCACATCAAAAAGCTAGAAAAATCTCAAGTTAACCTTACATCACAACTAAAAGAACTAGAGAACTAAGAGCAAACAAATCCCAAAGCTAGCAGAAGATAAGAAATAACCAGTCAGGCGCAGTGGCTCATGCTTGTAATCACAGCATTTTGGGAGGCCGAGACAAGCAGATCACAAGGTCAGGAGTTCGAGACCAGCCTGGCCAATACAGTGAAACCCTGTCTCTACTAAAAATACAAAAATTAGCTGGGAGTGGTGGTGGGTGCCTGTAATCCCAGCTACTCAGGAGGCTGAGGCAGGAGAATCACTTGAACCTGGGAGGCGGAGGTTGCAGTGAGACGAGATCGTGCCATTGCACTCCAGCCTGGGTGACAAGACTGAAATTCTGTCTCAAAAAAATAAAGAAAGAAGAAATAACCAAGATCAGAGGTGAACTGAAGGAGACAGAGATGCAAAAAAAAACCTTTAAAAAAATAAATGAGTCCAGGAGCTGGCTTTATACAAAAATTAATAAAACAGATCACTACCTAGACTAATAAAGAAGAGATAAGATTCAAATACATATAATCAGAAATGATAAGGGGGATATTAACAATGACCCCAGAGAAATGCAAATAATCATAAGATAATATTGTAAACACTTCTATGCACATAAACTAGAAAATCTAGAAGAAATGGATAAATTCCTGGACATATAAATCCTCCAAAGGCTGAAAAAAAAAGAAATTGAATTCCTGAATAGACTAATAATGAGTTCTGAAATTGAAGCAGTGATAAATAGCCTACCAACCAAAAAAAGCGCAGGAACAGACAGATTCACCTGAATTCTACCAGAGGTACAAAGAAGAGCTGGTATCATTTCTATTGAAACTATTCCAAAAAATTTAAAAGAAGAGACTCCTCCCTAACTCATTCTATAAGGCTAGCATCATCCTTATACCAAAACGTGGCAGAGATATAACAACAACAACAAAAAAACTTGAAGCCAATATCCTTGATTAACATCAATGCAAAAATCGTTAATAAAATACTAGCAAGCTGGATCCAGCAGCACATCAAAAAGTGTATCTATCACAATCAAGTAGGCTTCATCCCCAGGATGCAAGGTTGGTTTAACATATGCAAATCAATAAATGTCATTCGTCACATAAACAGAACTAAAGACAAAAACCACAAGATTATCTCAATAGGTGCAGAAAAGACCTTCAATATAAGTCAAAATCCTTTCATGTTAAAAAAAAAAACCTCTCAATAAGCTAGGTATTGAAGGAACATACATCAAAATAATAAGAGTCATCTATGACAAACCAACAGCCAATATCATAATGAATAGGCAAAAGCTGGAAGCATTTCCCTTGAAAATTGGCACAAAACAGGGTTGCTCTGTCACTACTCTTATACAATGTAGTATTGGAACTCCTGGCCAGGGCAGTCAGTCAAGAGAATGACATAAAGGGTATTCAAATGGGAAGAGAGGAAGCAAATTATCTTTTTTGCAGATGACATAATTCTAAATCTGGAAAACTCTATAGTCTCAGCCCAAAAGTTTCTTAAGCTGATAAGCAACTGGAGCAAAGCCTCAGGATACAAAATCAATTTGCAAATTTGCTAGCATTTCCATACACCAGTAACAGCCAAGCCAAGAGCCAAATCACGAATGAACTTCCATTCACAATTGCCACAAAAAGAATAAAATACTTAGGAATACAGCTAACAAGGGAAGTGAAGGACCTCTTCAAGGAGAACTACAAACCACTGCTCAAAGAAATCAGAGATGACACAAACAAATGGAAAAACATTCCATGCTCATGGGTAGAAAGAATCAATATCATGAAAATGGCCATACTGCCCAAAGTAATGTACAGATTCAATGCTATTTCCATTAAACTACCATTGACATTCTTCCAGAATTAGAAAAAAACTATTTTAAAATTTATATATTTTTTAAAAAGCCCAAATAACCAAGGCAACCCTAAGCAAAAACAACAAACCTGGAGGCATCACACTACCTGACTTCAAACTATACTACTGGGTTACAGTAACCAAAACATCATCATACTGGTACAAAAACAGGCATATAGACCAATGGAACAGAATAGAGAACCTAGAAATAAGACCACATACCTACAACCATCCGATCTTCAACAAACCTGACAAAAACAAGCAGGAGGAAAGGATTCCCTATTTAATAAATTGTTCTGGGAGAACTGGCTAGCCATATGCAGAAAACTGAAACTGGACCCTTCTCTTATACCACATACAAAAATCAACTCAAGATGGATTAAAGACTTAAGTGAAAACCCAAAACTATAAAAGCCCTAGAAGAAAACCCAGGCAATACTATTCAGGACATAGGCACAGACAAAGGTTTCATGATGAAGATGCCAAAAGCAATTGCAACAAAAGCAAAAATTGACAAATGGGGTCTCATTAAACTAAAAAGCTTCTGCACAGCAAAAGAACCTATTAACAGAGTAAATAGACAATCTACAGAATGGGAGAAAATTTTTGTAATCTATGCAACTGACAAAGGTCAATATCCAGCATCTATAAGGAACTTACACTTACAAGAAAAAAAAACCGTATTAAAAAGTGGGCTAAGGACATGAACATATACTTCTCAAAAAAAGACATACATGTGGTCAGCAAACAGTCATATGAATAAAAGCTCAATAGCACTGATCATTAGAGAAATGCAAATCAAAACCACAATGAGATACCATCTCACACCAGTCCGAATGGTTATTATTAAAAAGTCAAAAAACATCACACCTGTAATCCCAGCACTTCGGAAGCCCGAGGTGTGCAGATCACTTGAGACCAGGAGTTCAAGACCAGCCTGGCCAACATGGCAAAACCCCGTCTCTACTAAGAATACAAAAAGTAGCTGGGCATGGGGGTGCACACCTGTAATCCCAGCTACTTGGGAGGCTGAGGCTCAAAAATCGCTTGAACCCAGGAAGCGGAGGCTGCAGTGAGCCAAGATTGTGCCACCACACTTTAGCCTGAGCAACAGAGCAAGACTCTGTCTCGGAAAAATAAAAAAAAAGTCTAAAAAAACAAATGCTTGCAAGGTTTTAGAGAAAAAGGAACACTTTTACACTGTTGGTGGGAGTGTAAAATAGTTCAAAGAAGAAGACAGTGTGGCAAAGACCTAATGTGGCAAAGACAGTGTGCCTCAAAGACCTAGATGCAGAAATACCCTTTGATCCAGCAATTCCATTACTGGGTATATACCCAAAGGAATATAAATTGTTCTATTATAAAGACACGTGCATGTGTATGTTTACTGCAACACTATTCACAACAGCAAAGACATGGAATCATCCTAAAGGCCCATCAATGATAGACTGGATAAAGAAAACATGTACATATACACCATAAAAAGGAACAAGATCATGTTTTTTGCAGGGACATGGAGGGAGCTGGAGGCCATTATCCCTAGCAAACTAATGCAGGAACAGAAAACCAAATACTACATGTTCTCAGTTATGAGTGGGAGCCAAATGATGAGAACACATGGGAACATTGGGGGAACAACACACACTGGGGCTGTCAGAGGGTTGGGGGTGGGAGGAGGGAGAGGATCAGGAAGAAGAGCTAGTGGATTCTGGGCTTAATACCTGTGTGATGGGATGATCTGTGCAGCAATCACCATGGCACATGTTTACGTATTTAACAAGCCTGCACATCCTGCACATATACCCCTGAACTTAAAAGTTGAAAATTAAAAAAGAGAAAAGCTGGTATCAATTACTGTTATTGGTTGGAGGATGGACTCATTTACCAAACACAGTCTCTGTTGGCTGAAAATATTATAAACCATAAAAGTTGTATAAAAATGTCTTCTGTAGTGTTTGAAGATGATAGGATCCTATCTCTGTTCTTCTTTCTAACCCAATCTGGTTATAAGAGCTAATCTGTATTATCCTTATTACTTGTATATATTTACATTAAATAACTTGACTATAATATTAATATGGCAACTACATTCAAAATTCTAAAATCAGAACTTTTTTCTAGAAGCACCCTATAGGTGCTGATTTTATCATTTGGCAACATCTTTCATTTTCGAGCAGTTATTTTGATGTAGACAAGAATATAGCACATAGATGTGATCCTTGTCTTTGATCAGTGATAGGTCATAGGTAAAGATTAATCTATAACATAAATAACACAAAATTATATGTTTCATATTAGGGTAGAAAATTCAAACACAAAAAGTATGAAAAGCGTATTGCAAAACAATAGATATGGTAGAAAAAAATTAGATATACCTTCTCATTATGGCTTATTGTTTTGATGGATGGCAGTAGCCATACGAAATCCCTGATGATTCCAGAATCTTGGGCACAAGTTAAAAATGAATTGAACAACCTCATATGGAAGTTCTTCCCAAACCACAAAATCTAGACAAATATAGACTTAACGGACAGACTTGATCTCTTGAGTTAAATAATAGTCGTTTACATGGTATAATTTAACAGCTAGTCATCAGTCAAACCAGGCTAGGTTTTGCTACAGTAACAAACAACCCAGGGATCTTAGAGGCTTATAACATACAAGTTTCTGGTCAGGCTGTACGTCTTTCATAGGCCAGCCACTACTCTGCTTTATGTTAAATTCACCCCGGGACTCAAGCTTATGGAGCAGCCTCTATCTGGAATATTGCTTATCAGGGTGGCAGAGAGAAGAGAGGTATGACACACCCTGGCTCTTAAAGTTTTCCCTGCAAGAAATTTGTGCCTCTTCCATTACACTTTGTGATCCAATATATGCTCACTCCTGAGTTCAACAAGACAGAAATATATAAAACTCCTTCAAGGGAGGGCACTGGAGGGAAAGAAAATGAAATATTTATCTTATGGTATGACAAGCTCCCATAATTACCAAGTGGCCAGTTTATTCCAAAATGTGCATATACATCCTTTGCTGTCCTGCCTTATTATTTCCATTTCAAAATATTATCTTTAACTGATCTCCACTAAAATTTAAATATGCTGTTTTTAGGCTCCTAATCTAAAGAGATAAATTGCAGCTTTCCAAATGCTCTGCCACAGAGCTTTCCAATCCAGTTTTACCAGTAGTAAAGCTGATATCTTAATTTGTTCCTAACTTCTGTGTGTATTTCCTGTTTCTCACATGGGTCAGAAACTGTGGGACAGAGCAGAGGGACTGAAGTCAGCCTCCAGCCCCAACACCTGCCTGAGAATTTCCCTCATAATTCTACTGATCAGAGAATAACTTTCTCTGGAAAGGAAAGCAGAAGTCTGTAAGCAGAGGATTTAACTTGCTTTATCCCATTTAATCCCTATAAGAACCCTGTCCAGTAAGAATTATTATTGTCATTTAACAGATGATGAAACTAAGACTCAGATAACCTAAGTCGATTGATCAGAGCAAGGATTTAAACGAATGCCTGTCAGCTAGCTGGCAGTGCCTTTCCTCTATCCTCCACTAATATGTCACTTGTGTTCAATACAGGGGCTAGCCATGAAAAGATCACACTGTTTAGTACAGGAGTTCTCATTTTCATTAATCAATGTCCATTCTCTTTAGCACTTAAAGTGTAAGCATCCTTCAAAACCAAGATAGGGCCAGGTGTGGTGGCTCACACCTATAATGCCAGCACTTTGGGAAGCCAAGGCAGGAGATCACTTGAATGGAGGAGTTCAAGACCAACCTAAACAACATAGTGGGACTCTGTCTCTACAAAAAAAAATTGTTTACTTAGCTGGGCATGATGAGGCATGTATGTAGTGCCAGCTACTAGGGAGGATTGCTTGAACTCAGGAGGTCAAGGCTGCAGTGAGCCATGATCACACCTCTGCACTCCAGCCTCGGTGACAGAGTGAGACGCTGTCTCAAAAAGAAAGAAACAAAGAAAGAAAGAAAGAGAGAGAAAAAAACAAACCCAAGGGCTGATGTCATATCCTCATAGAAACCCACCTCATTAACAATCTTCCAGGCTGACATAGGCACTGTCATTCCCACCATTGTAATGACTACCCCCCCAACACACCAAACATACTGAGTTTCTTCAGGACAAGGACAAGTTCTTATTAGGCTTTGTGTCCTCAGAGCCTAGTGTAACACCTGTCGTTGGCCTTACCACTAATTTAACAAAGATAATAAGTAACTGAGCGAACTATGCACGTAGATTCAGGCTTGGACAAAGAAGACTCAAATCAATGTATTAAATCAGATAGAGTAAAAATACAGTTGGAGCTAGACATCACTGAAGAGGAGATAACTAAATGGGAACAATTGGCCTGGGTCTTAATTGTGACTCAATCACTACCTACTATTGTCATGTTGGTGCTTTAGTTTTCTCAGCTATTAAATAAGAACATAGGAATAGATGATTTTAAAGCCCCATCAGCTCTGAATTTCTTATGTTCTGGGAGGTGACTGCTGCTCTCAGCCACCAGAAGGAACCAGAAGGGTACCTGTGCATCCTTTGGCTACTTCAACTAGTGTCAAGACTAACCAGTCAAAATACCTCTTCACCATGTTATCTCCCTAGTATAATATACCCATTAACTAGGCCATTCAAATGTCTTCCATCAGCACACCTGGTGTTACAAATTCAATCCTATCTCTCATTTCTCATAAAAAGACAAATAGCAGGGTCATATAAATCAGCAAGTCAAAGACTTAGTTGGAACCCTAAACCAAATACAGGAACATAGCAGAAAATGGATATCAAGGGGAGGCTGGAAGAGGTATAAAAGTTAGGAAATAAGATGCCAACGAAGTGGAAAGAAAGCGATGAAAACTAGGGTGAGACATGCTGTAAGGAAATCTAAGTATATTTCCCATCAGAGTAGGAGACAGGTCAGTCCAAAGATCTATCCAACTCTATAAATATTATTGGCTACTTGTTATGTGCTGGGTACTTTGCTGGATACTGAGGACTCAAGCAGACAGAAAACAAGAAAAAGTGGAAACCAAGAATTAAAATAATAAGGACGCAGACAAAGGACTATGACACCAAATGAACAATGCAATGAACTTCTGAGTAAGCCAGGGGAGTTTTCACAGAATTTGAATATGTGAGCTTAGTTTTCAAGAGTTGCCAGGATCTTCTCAGGTAGACAGCACAGGAAGTGATACAAAGTATGAAAGACCATCATGATTTGGTGGAATGGCAAGAATTTTGAGGTCATTGGAAATTGAGATGAGGTGGACACTAGAAAGATGACGCTGGAGAGAAGTCTGGATGGTGAAAGATTTCCTTTGCCAAGTTATCAGTTAACAGTGAGAAATTAATAAGGAGGCAATCCTACCCAGAAACCAAAGCAAATGCACCCCCTGCTCCAAACCCCAGGCTTCAGAAAGTCCCCTCTGGTTCTTGTTCAGTTGTTCCTCTCACCACAGCACAAGAAGTCTGTGGGGCCAATTGAACATGCCCACCTGGAGCCTTCCCCCCAACCTTTCCCCCTTCCTCTTGCCTTCCTAACTCCCATAAACCCCTATCAGCCCACTGTTCTAAACTATACTCCAGGTAATTACTCCTAACCCCAGAATTACCCAGATGCCCTCAAATCCACTTCCAGAGTTTGAGACAGTTTCTTCCTCAACTCCATTCTCCCAAGCACAGGCCTCACTGCTGGTGTGTGTCCTCTAAGGATGGGGAGAAGGCCAGGGGCTGCTGTTGGCCAGAGGTAGGGTTATAGATAAAGCCTGGATATCTGAGTGGGAGCAGAGCTGGTTGCAAAGAGAAGCAGAAACAGGGTAAGGGAGAACCATAGGTTACAGGTAGCAGCTTCTATTTGTACCTTTACCTATGCAAATGTCAGGGGTGAGTTTGTAGGGAGTTCTCAACTTTTAACCATTTCACACAATTTTCTTAACTGTAAGAAATACCAGATTCTTGTATATGTTATCATAGATATTCATACTAAAATTAAAGTCTTATTATTTCTTACTAGCTCTCATGCTGAATTGTATTAATTGCCTCTCCTGCACCTTCAAGAAAGCGGTCTTCAATCTTTAAAATTTTGTAAGAACCCTAGACCTCCAATACAGTAGGAAGTCTACTCACCCATGGGCTTTCAGAAGATGCCTTATCATAACGGCATGAGTGAATGAATTTGAATGAAATGAACATTTTCCGACCTGCTTGAGAGATTTATTTTGGCATTGTTTTAGGACTCAAATCCTTGGCTTTGGCACTGCTACAGTGAATTGATACCTTGCTGTAGCTGCCTCTGAATTCTGCTTTAACTTTGAATACGAAGCTTTGGAGTGCTACGCGGGCTCTTATGTCCTTTTCATTTATACCCAGCATTCAATACCAATGCCACAATCTTTTTTCAGTTTTATTATTTCCCTATCATTGCTATTGATGCTTCACCTCCCTAGGTACCTCAGTTCCCTAGGAGTCCTGACATAGCAAACAACCAATAATAGGAATAACTATGTTTTTGCAAAATGCAGTATCTTTGGCAAATTCTCCATGATGAACTACACTCCTTTCACTTAGTTTCCCAACAGCAAAGAAAGGTCTTAATTTTCTCCTTAATTTTTAGAGGGCTAAGCTGCACATTTAGAAGAGAAGAGAGCATCTCTTAACCAGGCAGGAACTGTATAACTTACAGTAACTTTGGAGAAAAAAAGTAGCTGGAAACTCACAGGAAAGACACAGATGAGCTCTGTGAGAGCTTGATTTGCTTTAACATCCTCTTGTGTAGCTGTCTCAACTGGCTTCAAAAAGACAGTTGTTGGAAATGTAGTTTATGATTCAACTAAAAGTATTCACTGAAGCATATGTTTCTTGGTTGTTAATAGTTGTTTCAAAAAAGAAAATATGTGTGTATTCATTCTTAAAATACATTCAATTTTGGTTGTAATTTTTGACTGCACAATCCATTCGATGGAAAAACAAGATAGATAGCTAAGATGTCTGTGATTTTTATGGCTTCCTGTTTATTCACCGGCCTCCTAATTTCTTTTCGCCTACACAGTTACTGAGGGGAATTAAGGCTTCTGTTCAATCTGGCATGCAGGAATAACTTCTTCAAATAGGTTTTGCTTTGTGATACTGAAAATGCATCACTGGTGTAACTTTTTAATCAAAACTTATTTCCAAAGTCATTTTAAGGCACAAATTAAACTGGTCTAAATAATGGGCCAATTTTAACATTAGATTGTCTTTCAGAGACTCAGTGAAATGAAACGGAAGGCTGAATCTTAGCCCTTAAAACATCATTGGTTAAATGAAGCAAGATCAGACAATAGGGAGGTAAGCATAGTATTTCACAGCGGGGTGAGTTAGGGAATTCTGTCCTCAGAGCTTCCAACCCAATTTTTAAAAATCAATTTACAAGTAAATTTGATGTCAGAGGCGTGGGAATCCTACTGATACTCATTAAAACTGCTTCCTAAGGAGGATAGGGTAAGAGTTTGGTTGAGTTCTTTAAATAAAGAACATGAACCTTTGAACGGAAGCAAAAAAACTTTTAGTTTTCTAAATCAGCTTTATTTAGACCTGCTGAGTTGATTTTTACTTGCTGATGAGGCGCCAGGTTTTAAAAGCTCCTAAGTGGTCAAGGTGAGTGCCTACATTTATCACAATTCCAGACACATTCTCAGCTTCCCATTTTCTATATTAAAGAGAAAGATATCTTTCTAAGCTTGAAGCCCGCAATGACAACAAAGCAGAGGTGCTGAGCAGAATATTAACTGCTAAGGGCTAAACTCACCCTAAGGTGATGACTCTTAGTTCGTACTGAATTCAATTAGACCAGCTTCATTTTCATCATTAAATTATTTTGACAAAAGTCCTACAGCCTCTAACGGAAGAGCCAGCCTTCAATATAATTCACAGAGGAAATGTCCTTGTTTAGTAAGTCAAGGAATAAGTGGAGTTAGAAGGAACCTCTAGCGAAACACCTCATCTATTGCTTGCTGTCCTCACTACCATATCTTGGGTAAATGAATTTCAGTATTCATAAATCATGCTTTGCAAATTGATATCGAATCTCTCCTAGAGCATGTCACATGACAATCTGCTGTTGCAAGGGTATTAAGTAAGCTTGCATAAAATAGACATTGTGGAATACTTGGTGGCCATTGTAATAGATGACTGACCTCCAAGAAGCTGAAGTGTATTAATATTTAGCCCAGATGAGTTATTCAGAAACCACTGGAATTTTACAATATGCTGGACCTGCCACTGTAATCATGAATTCAGGCCCTGTATGAATTTATTGTGCTTATGAGTATCCACTGAGTACACATGAACATGGCTTTCTCTGTAATTCACATCGTAAAAGACAAAGTGGACTTAGCCCCTCCTAGTAAGCAACATAAAAAATTTTATAAAAAGTTTGTGGCATATTAAAGGAAATAGTACACTCGAATCCTCTGTGGAGTCAGGTGAAATAATACAAATAAACAAGGGTCATATATACATATATACACACAGCCTGGATATATATATATATATATATATATATATATATATATATATATATATATACACACATATGCACACATACAACTGCCTCCATTTAAAACATGACTAGCACTTACTATGTCCGAGATATTTTGGTTAGAGTTCTTGAATATAACACCTCTTACAATCTTTTTATCAACCCTGTATGGTATTTATTCATATTATGTCACAAATGAAGAATTTAAATCATTTACTCAAAGTGATATGGCCAGAAAATAAAACCAGGATCAATCCTTTGTCTTCTAATTTCAGATCTAGTGCTCTTTCCCCTGTATCTTACCAATTAAATTAGAATATTTTACTTAATTAAAATTAGCCATTTATGGGTCACCAATTTTCCAAGGATTTAGAAAAATATATTTAATAATAAAATCTGTGATAATTGCAAATATATCTTCTCTGATGAACTGGCTCTTTTGGAGCTGAGTGTTAAATTTGGAACATGGTTTATACTGCTGCAGTCCTGTTGATATAGACAGTGCAGAATGCTTAATCTAAATCTGTACAGGCCCAGAACAGTCCCTAGTAATTTGATTGCATTTTTCTTTATTTCAAAAAAAATCCAAATTGCCCATATTTATTTATCATTGACCACAAAAACAGGGAGTGTAGGGAGTTCAGTTATTAGAATTCTTCCATTACTCAAATGCTGGGCAAATAAAATGTGAGAGCACCTTGAGGCTGAGAACTTTGTTTTATTTTTATCTGTTCCTTTGTACCCCACAAAGTCGGAGTATATAAAAGATGCTAAATAAGTATTTTTTGAATGAATGAATGAACAAGAGCCAGTGGTATAAAGTCATACTTGGGGCCTCATGAGAGCCCATGATTGGACAGACAACATTTACATGCAAAGCAAACTCTATAGTGCCCTAGCATGTGAACACAATTAAAGCTCATTGTAAAATTAATAGCAAACATTTATATGATATGTTCTATTTGCCAGGCACTACTTTAAACCCTTTAAATACATTTAGGTATTTATTCTTCAAAAAATCTCCTGAGTATATTTTAAAATTATATGTGTAATTAAATATGCATGTCTCTCTCTTCTTCTCCTTGATATTAGGATGCTTAAAATAAGAGAATAAGCCTCGTTCATCTATAATTCAAGCCTCTTCCACAGTGCTTGGCATGTAGTATATATTGGGTAAGTAAATAAATTCATGAGTAAATGATTTTTCTCTGTGGGAAAGGCACATTGATCAGGTCACAGTCATAAGTGTCTTCTACACTATGCCTAGGAGAATACTATTGTTTGAATTGTAACTACTCATATATGTCATAACTGTAACACTCATACTTATTTCTGCAAATCTGCAATTTACTAAACGACAGAGCCATTTAGAATCACTCCCTAACTTACCAGCATGGCAAGCCCTTTGAGCGTGTACTCTACGGGATCAAAAACCATAACTGCCCAAAAGACATGCAGCTTCTATTTTCATTGACCAAGAATAGAATTAATAGTTAATGCTAAGTCAATAAAGAGGATGGCAAGCTGAAATTCATAGACATCTCAGAGATTCAGAAAGTTGAGAGGGTAGGCTAATCTTAGATTTGTGGCCAGAATTTGCTTACTGGAGGAATAGGTTAATAAATGTCAATATTTGAGTTGACAAATATTAAAAGACAAAAATCGCTGGGACTGTCTGAAATCAAAACTGGAAGAACACAGCCCAGTGATAAGATCTTGAGGTTAAATACGAGTAGACTTGGAGAAGTTCTTTAGGCAGGAGGTGTTTTTGCCCGCACTCAGTAGTAGGAGGAGGCCAATTGGATGCAGACACATACCAATTAAAGGCCATTATGGAGGGACTGTCAATGTGATGTGATAGATGAAGAAGATGCAAATGAAGAAAAACAATCAGGATTTGGTGAATGAATGGAAATGAATGGTAAAAGGCAAATGGAGAATCAAGGATAATTCTAGTGAAACTGCTAAGAATTTCAAGACTCAGTGATCGGGAGGAACAGCAAAAATGGGGAACGCTGGAAGAAATGCTAGTTTAAGGGAAAAATGATAAGCCTCTGTGTAATTATGTTAAGTGTGTGATGATTCATCTGAAAGCACACAGAGCAGGAGATCAAAAGGCTCAGACTTATCCCTTGGAGTCAACTGGATCATGAGAGAATGGGGTATTTTAATATCATCTATGTGAAGGAAGAGGAAACTTCAAAGAATTTCTCAATTATCAGATGACTACTTTCAGGAAATACTTTTTTTACTGTATAAAGTCAAGTTGGTGTTCAATAAGATATTTTGATATACATATATACAGTGAAATAATTACTAGAGATAAGCAATTTAATATAACCATCATCTCATAGCCCTTTTTTATTTGCATTAAGAGCATCTAAAATCTTACAGAATTTCCAGAATATAGTATCATTAAAGATACTCTTCATACTATATATATGTACATACCATGTTTTCTTTATCCGTTCATCCACCAATGGTCAATTAGATTGCTTCCAAATCTTGGCAATTGTGAATAATGCTGCAATGATCATGGGAGGGCAGTTATTTCTATGAGGTGCTGTTTTCATTTTTTGGGAGGTGTATACCTAGAAAATTGCTAGGTCATAAGGTCTAAGTTTAATTTTTTTAGGAATTTCCATACTATTTTTTATAATGGCTGTACCGATTTACATTCCCACCAACAGTGTACATGTGTTCCCTTTTCTTTACACCTTTGCAATGCTTATTTCGTGTTACTTTGATAATCGCCATCCTAACACATGTGAGGTCACATCTCATTATGGTGTTTATTTGCATTTCCCTGATGGCTAGTGATGTGCACTATTTCATATATCTGTTGGCCATTTGTATGTCTTCTTTGGAGAAATGTCTATTCAGGTTCTTCGTCCATTTTTTAATCAGGTTATTCATTTTTTTTGCTATTGAGTTATGTGAGTTCCTTATATATATTAGATATTAACCCCTTATCAGATACATGTTTCATGTATACCTTCCCTAAGTCTGTAGGCAGCCTCTTCACTTTGTTGACTGTTTCCTTTGTTCTGTAGACGTGTTTAGTTCAATAAAGTCCCATTTGTTTACTTTTGCTTTTTTTGCCTGTGCTTTTGGTGTCCTAGTCAAAAAACTCATTGCCAAGACCAGTGTCCAGGAGCTTTTCCACTGTTTTCTCCTAGAGGTTTTATGGTTTCAGGTTTTATATTTAGGTCTTTACTTAATTATGAATTGATTTTTGTGTATGATGTAGAATAAGGGTACGGTTTTTTACTTTTGTATGTGGACATCTCATCTTCCCAACACCATTTATGGGAGAGACTATCCTTTCCCCATTGTGTCCTCCTTCGGTACTTGTCAAAATTAGTTGGCTATATATGTTTAGGTTTATTTCTGGCTTCTCAATTCTCTTCCATTGCTTTATGTGTCTGTTTTTATGCCATCCTGTTTTGATTACTATTCCTTTGTAATATAATTTGAGATTGGGAAGTAGAATACCACAACTTTATTTCTTTTAGGGTCTCTGTGGCTATTTGGTGGTTTCATATAAATTTTAATGTGTCCAGATGATTACCATTAGTATTTTTGTTTTAAAGGAAATTGGCCAGTCTCTGTCAACCTTGACCACCTAAATCCTCCATCTTCCCTCTAATGGAACATAAATATTGTGGAGTCAGTGGCTTCCTTTTGCTATTATTAATACATACCTAATATGGAATATCACCTGGCAGGTAGTAGATCTTCAACAATTTGTTAAGTGAAAAAAAAAAAATGGCAGAGGAAAGGAGGGAGAGAGGGAGAGAGAGGAGGGGGAAGAGGAAAAACATAAAATGGTGCTGGTTTATCGCAGACCAGGAAATAGACAACATAAGAATTACTTCTTCAAAGTTTTGCTTTAAAGTTCTCTTAATAGGATTAAAATATCTCAGGACACTATACAAAAGATGAAATAACACTGATTCTGATTTAGAAAGGAAAATGGTTTGTTTGCTATACTTTCTCCTCAAACACACATTACCCTTAGAAGTCTACTGTTGAAAACTGATAAAATATGGGAAATAATGGTCAGGCACCAAACCATTTAAAAGTACTTCAGTTATTTCATCTTTTCTCATACAACACTTATATGTACAAATAAAGATTCCAAACGCATTTTATTCCTCAGCTATTTCATTATACAAGGGGACCACTTAAGGGGACTTAAAGGTAAAAAATGAATGTTGTACTATCATAAAAAGTTAAAGTCAGCCCATCCATGGCTAAGGTGATACAACTGTAGATAGTAAATATTCTTTTATTAATCTGTTTAAATGATCTGGAGATGAAATTTTCACAAAATAATCTTGCCTTTGTTTATTTGATATTATAGTTGCTTCTTTGACCAACTAGTCATAAGTAAATACAGAACTTATCTTCTACCATGAGGAAAGTTCTATGAGGACAAAAGTTTATAGAAAACAAGTTCCTTTTTTCATTTAAAAATTCTGAAGAAGTATGAGGCCCAATCTTCTGCATTTAATGAAATGTTTAAAACTCAGTTTCAACTAATGTCCTTTTTTAAATGGAGGTTATATTCACAATTTTTGAAATATATTAATTTTTAGTGCTTAATTTCAATATTTCTTCCAATGTCTAAACTCTTATCATTTCAATATATAATAAATGTATTTTTAATTGCTAATGAGATATTTTACATTATTTCATTCATTTGAAGTCTTAGCCATTTGGTGTGTATTTTACATTTACACCATGTCTCAATTCAGACTGACTACACAGGGGCCCACCAGCTACAGGTAACTGGTGGCTATTTCACTAGATGGTATATTCTCTACAACAGAGGGAAGGAAGACTTCACCTTCTTCTCTTCTCATTCCTCACTATCACACAAATATCTATTAAGCACCCACCCTGTATCTGATACTGAAGATAAAATTTGGGGGAAAAATCAAATGAGGACCTCAAATTCTCCCATTTGAAGAATACTATATGGAGATATTGAATATACAAATAGGCAATGGCAAGACCATATATGATCATAACAGTCTCACCCACAACCTCTGGCAGCAAGCAACCAGTGAGAGAAGCCAGACCATAACCTCTGCAGCGATTGGCCTAGAGCGATCAGGACTTTGTCAGTGTCCTTCAGCTTTCATTATTTTTGCCTCTTCTCCCAATTCAAGACCAATCAGAGAAAGCCAAATATACTCCCAAACCAATTAGATAAGATAATCTGCTTCTATGCAGACCCCCACAGCTTCCTCATATCAGGACCTCCAATCAGGGGATAACTGCAGCCTTTCCTTTTCTTTTACTATAAAGATTTCCCCTTCTCCTGTATGCCTTTTACTCTGTGATGCCCTTCCAAGCTTTGAATAAAGAGCCTCTTTTGGTTCTCGTATGAATACTCTTTATTTATTTCCACAAAATCTTTGATTGTTCCTTTTACAATGACTAAAATAATCAAACATTCTCTTAATTTTCCCTGTGGGTTCAGGTTTTCATTTTATTTGCATCATTCATTCATGCAATGAATGACTCTTTGCTGTGCTCTACTAGGTGCCAGCCACTGTGCTGAATCTTAGAAACTAAGTAAGGGACCAGAGATTCAATCTTTTCCCTCAGGAAACTTAGAGCTGAGCAAAGGTACACACACAAGTAAATGTTTAATAAGTTGTACTAAACACTATAAAGGAAAAATGCACGGTGAATGAAAGTCTATAATGGGACCTCAACATTTTAATTTTCATAAGATCTGAATGCCAATTCTTTGCAAGAAAAAAACTTTTATCCTGCCACTTACTTGAACCTCAACAAATGCTTGGCAAAATAAAAAATATTATTGTCTCAGCAGACTTGCACACTGAAGATCAGACATTTTTCCTTATCTCCCTATTTTCTTATCCCGTTTTGCTTATTTCTCATGAAGTACATTAAATTTTACTGCAGTAAAACCTTTACCAGAATTTAACAACTGAGGATTCTCAACATTCCTGAAAATTTTGTTCACTCTCAATGTTTATGCTAAAGAAGCCTAGAAAAACAAACAAACTATTCAGGATCTTGATGACCAGGACCTTATCTAGAAGAAAGGCAAAAGGAATTTCAAGAATGACAACAAAGAGAAGTCCTAAGATGAAAGCAGTGTAGCAGGCCCAGGGAAAAATCCTCCCAGTCTACAGAGTCAAGGGCTTGTTTTGGAGGAAAAAATAAATTGGAACTGAATGAGGCTCATAAGCGATTTACCTTGTGGAAAATTATACTAAGAAGCTCTTGAAAGGTATGGGAAGAATTAGAAATAGGTACAAAGTAAGCTATGCAAATGAAAAAGAAAATCATTATTACCTTCAGGGAAAGGAAGTATAACCTACTCAGCTGTGAGTAGCATTTGTATAAACATAGCATAAAGACTTAACTGATTATTAATTTAACCAATAATTATAATAAAACTATATGAGAAACCAAGTTTGTATTTTCCTCACAGCAAATCAATAGGTGGCGTGGAAAACTGATGAACCAAAAAACAGACAACTACAGACACAAAATCCCAAGGCTAACATTAGGGAAAGATTCCTTAAATGGAGAAAATAGGAAGACAAGAGAAAGTTAGGAAACAATGTGGGTAAAATCAAGGTGCTGATGGTGACACAAAAATTATGATGGGAAAGTGACTAGTGTCATCTGTTACTGAACATCAAGTGCTCACACAGGGAATTGTAGAAGGCGAGGCAATCATTCTGTGGACTGTCTTGCATGCTAAAATAAAAAGTTTTAATGTTATCCCCTAGGTCCTAGAGAGCCACTGAAGGCTTGAATAGAGGAGCAACATGATGAAACCAATGTTCAGAATCAGGATCTGACCTCAGTATGTTAAATGATTTGGAGAAGGGAGAAAGTAGAAACTGAAAAATTACTTTGAAGTTATGTGTTTTAATTTGAAGCAGGAAATTTTCCCTGCCCCCTTTGTAGGCAGGAACTGGGGTGCACGGGTGCTGGAACTTGCTGGCGCTTCAGTGCTGTAGGGGTGAACCCCACTCACTCAAGCCCATTGTGCTCAACCCCTCGCAGGAGAGAGCACACAGGTGCGCAAGTGCTGGAGCCAGGCAAATGTTTTTGGGCACTGGGAGGAGCAACACTCCATGCAGGCCCCAGAGCAGCGTCTAGTGGGGAGTACCCACGACCCTCAAAGCCCCAGAAGAAGTGTTAAAGTGAGTGCTCTTTTAGCTTTTGCTCTCCCAGGAAGGCTTAAGTGCTAAACAGCTCAATGCGCCCTCTGCCTTTTTGGGTGAGGCAGTTGCTTTCTGCCAGCGATGGCAGAGAGGGTCAACGTGACAGCCTTCTGTATCTCGAGCTTTTGTCAGGCGTCAGGAAAATTGGGTTGTATGAATGAATTGAAGGATAGTAAATGCAAGGATTTTATTGCCAATGGAAGTGGCTCTCAGTGGGAAGGGGAGCTGGAAAAGGGATGGAGCAGGAAGGTATTCTTCCCCTGAATTCTGGCCATCTCCGGCCAGACTCTTTTCCAAAGTCCCACCCTCAAGCTGTCCCTCTGAAGTCAAGCTGCTTCTCTCCAACATTCAGCTGCTGCTTCTCCTTTTCACATATGGAGTCTTCTTCTTCCCTGCCAGCTGGGTCAGGGATTTTTGTGGGTACAGGATGGGGGCAGGGCAAGCCATGGGTGGTTTTAGAAAAGGCAACATTCAAGTGGGAAACCAGGGATATAAAGTTCTCACTTTGGGCCACAGTTCCAGGATTCAGGGTGGGACCTTTGCTGGGGACCCTGCCCTTTTCTACGTAGAATTTCTCTGCCTCCTGTCCCTATCAGATTGACACTATAGCCCCACACCCTCACAAACATATATGTATAGAAAATCAAGACTTGAAATACTACAATTTACAAAACATATAAATGAATCAATACTTGAGAATTTCTTAATGGAGAATTTAATCTCCTATAGAGTACCAGTTAAGTGTTAGGCTTTCAACAAAACTGTTTAGCTTGCTCATCACTCTGATCACTGGATAATGTGACCCTGATCAAAGAGCAATTACATTGTGCTTAATAGATATCACTCATCAAATGATAAAGGGCTATATTTTTTGTTGTTGCTACAGCAGACAGTTTATAATGTTTACTAGACATAGTGTTCTAAGCTTTGCATATATTAAGAGATTTAATTCTTTAATAACTCTATGAGGTAGGTAATTCTCTTATTCCCATGTGAAAGGAAGTTAAGATACTTAAAGGTTAAATCACTCACCCAAGGTAACATGGCCAAGTTAACGCTAAAGCTGAGATTTGGATTAAGGCAGGCTATTGCCAGACCTCACACTCTTAATCACTATATGAGGTTGCCTCTAAATGAAATATGTGAAAACTAAAAGTAAGATTTTTCCTGACCTCTTATTTTAGTTTGTCACTGTTTCATATAAGAAAAAAATACACAAGGGAGAAATTCTAGCTGAGCCTCATTTTTCCTCATCTGTAAAATTATGAAAATAAAAATGTCACTGAGATGTTTTTGCCAGCATCATAGAAAATAGATGGAAGTAATGGCCCCAATTCTTTGCATCTCCCTACGTCCATGCCTTCTCACTTGGCGTGGCCATATGTTATGAGCTGAACTGTGTCTGCCCCTCCCTGCAAATTCCTATATTGAAGTCCTAATCCCCAGTACCTTAATAGATGTCTGTATTTTGAGATAAGGCCTTTGATGGGATGAGTAAGTTAAAATGAGATTGTAAGGGTGGGCCCTAATCTAATCTGACTGGTGTCCTTATAAGAAGAAGAAATGTGGACACAGAGAGATACCAGGCATGTAGGCACAGAGAAGAAAGACTGTGTGGACACAAGAAGGCAGCCATTTACAAGCCAACGAGAGAGCCCTCAGATGAAACTAAAATCACAAAACCCTTGATTTTAGACCTCTAGTCTCCAGAACTATGAGTAAATAAATTTATGTTGTTTAAACCACCCAGTATGAGGTATTTTGTTATAGCAGCCCTGGCAGACCAATACATTATGTAACTTGCTCTGATAATGTGATGTTAGTATATGTAACACAAACAGAAACTGGAAAAGCACTTACATCTTTCCACTTGCCCTCATGCTTGTTCTCACCATCACTGTAATAACATGCCCAGTTACCCTTTAGAAGAATGAAAAACAAATAGAACAGAGCCGAGAAACCACAGCTAAATCTATCCTAGGTCATCCAACAGCTAGTCAACCACTAGATAAATGACCAAGAACAGGCAAGACCACACTTAGCTGAGTTCAAGCAAAAGCGCCAACAATGGACCTATGACCTAAATATATACTTATTGCTATAAACCACTGATTTGGGAGAGAGCATGTTGTAAGCATTATCATGCCGATGGATAACCAATGCATGGAGGAGCTCCTGCCAGTGGGCTAACATCCATAGGAGCAGAGGGAGTCAATGTGCCATCATGGCAGAAGCCCTGGAACAGAGGATATCCATGTTGGGAGAGCCACAGAAAAGTGATTGCCAGGCCAGACCGGGGCTACAATGTCAGAAGGCCCATCTGTTCCCTGGGGCAGAGCACCACTGTCTATCTTTGTGTTCCCATGGCTGACAAAGCTTTTGGCCTCAAGAAACAGTAAGAGATGCCGCATCTTCTGGCAATATCCCTGTAGCCCCCTCTACTGAGGAGGCTTCACAGAGTGCTCACTGTAAAGGAGAAATGTTTAAAGGAACTCCATTCATTATTGCAGAGCAAGTTTTGAAAAGTGTGGAGCTAACAGGTATTAGATTGATAACTGGCACCCCAACTAAAACATAAACACCTACTAAGCATGAGGATTGAACACTTCAAGCAAAGAAATTATTTCAACAATAACCGTAGATTTTATCTGGCTAAGATTTTTTAACCCAGAAAAGCAAATTTACCAATCTAACAAACTGAAGATAAGTGGTTTTGTTTCTGTACATCTTACGGCCTTCCCAAATGTTGCACACATCATCTAAATTAAATTAGCAACTTATTGAATGGTTCTAACTTAACAAAACTTTCAATCAAAGCATAGTATATGATTATAACACAGATGAAATAAATAAAAATATACAAAAGTATAACACAGAGATATTGCAGACTTGGATATTGCAATAAAGCAAGTCACACAAATTTGTTTCCCAGTGCATATGAATGTTATATTTACACTATTCTGCAGTCTATTAAGTGTGCAATAGCATTTGTCTGGAAAAAAATGCACATATCTTAATGTAAAAATACTTTTTTGCTAAAAATGCTAATAATCATCTGAGCCTTCAGCAACATGTAATCTTTTTGGGGCAGAAGGTCTTGCCTTGATATTGTAGACTGCTGCTTGAACAGGATGGTGGTTGCTGAAGGCTGGGGTGGCTGTGGGAATTTCTTAAAATAAAACAACAGAAGAGTTTGCTGCATAGATTGACACCTCCTTTCATGAAAGATTCTTCAGTAGCATACAATGCTGTTTGATAGCACTCTATCCACAGTGGAACTTTTTTCAAATTTGGGGTCATTTCTCTCAAACCCTACCACTGCTTTATCAACTAAGTTTATGCAATCGTCTAAATCCTTTGTTATTATTTCAACAATATTCACAGCATCTTCACTAGGAGTCAATTCCACATGAAGAAACCACTTCATTTGCTCATTCATAAGAATCAATCCCTCATTTATTCAAGTTTTATCGTGAAATTGCAGCAACTTGATTACATCTTAAGGCTCTACTTCTAATTCTAGTTCTCTTAATACATCCACCACATCTGCAGTCATTTCCTCCACTGAAGTCTTGAACCTCCAAGTCATCCATGAGGTCTGGAATCAACTTCTTCCAAACTCTGATTAATGTTAATATTTTGACCTATTCTCATGTATCACAAATGTTCTTAACGGCAACTACAATGGTGAATCCTTTTCAGAAGATTTTCAATTTACTTTGGTCAGATCCATCAGAGGAATTACTGTCTATGACAGTTACAGCCTTGCAAACTATATTTCTTAAATTGTGAGACTTGATAGTTAAAATTACTCCTAGATCAGTGAGCTGCAGAATGAATATTGTGTTAATAGATATGAAAACGCTGGGGGAGGAGCCAAGATGGCCAAAAAGGAACAGCTCCTGTCTACAGCTCCCGGCGTGAGCGACGCAGAAGACAGCAGAAGACGGGTGATTTCTGCATTTCCATCTGAGGTAGCGGGTTCATCTCACTTGGGAGTGCCAGACAGTGGGCGCAGGTCAGTGGGTGCGTGCACCGTGCGTGAGCCGAAGCAGGGCGAGGCATTGCCTCACTTGGGAAGCACAAGGGGTCAGGGAGTTCCCTTTCCAAGTCAAAGAAAGGGGTGACAGACGCACCTGGAAAATCAGGTCACTCCCACCCGAATACAGCACTTTTCCGACCCACTTAAAAAATGGTGCACCACGAGATTATATCCCGCACCTGGCTCAGAGGGTCCTACGCCCACGGAGTCTCGCTGACTGCTAGCACATCAGTCTGAGATCAAACTTCAAGGCTGCAGCGAGGCTGGGGGAGGGGCGCCTGCCATTGCCCAAGCTTGCTTAGGTAAACAAAGCAGCCGGGAAGCTCCAACTGAGTGGAGCCCACCACAGCTCAAGGAGGCCTGCCTGCCTCTGTAGGCTCCACCTCTGGGGGCAGGGCACAGACAAACAAAAAGCAGTAACCTCTGCAGACTTAAATGTCCCTGTCTGACAGCTTTGAAGAGAGCAGTGGTTCTCCCAGCACGCAGCTGGAGATCTGAGAATGGGCAGACTGCCTCCTCAAGTGGGTCCCTGACCCCTGACCCCCAAGCAGCCTAACTGGGAGGCACCCCCCAGCAGGGGCACACTGACACCTCACACAGCAGGGTACTCCAACAGAACTGCAGCTGAGGGTCCTGTCTGTTAGAAGGAAAACTAACAAACAGAAAGGACATCCACACCGAAAACCCATCTGTACATCACCATCATCAAAGACCAAAAGTAGATAAAACCACAAAGATGGGGAAAAAACAGAGCAGAAAAACTGGAAACTCTAAAACGCAGAGCGCCTCTCCTCCTCCAAAGGAACGCAGTTCCTTACCAGCAACGGAACAAAGCTGGATGGAGAATGACTTTGACAAGCTGAGAGAAAAAGGCTTCAGAGGATCAAATTACTTTGAGCTACAGGAGGACACTCAAACCAAAGGCAAAGAAGTTGAAAACTTTGAAAAAAATTTAGAAGAATGTATAACTAGAATAACCAATACAGAGAAGTGCTTAAAGGAGCTGATGGAGCTGAAAACCAAGGCTCGAGAACTACGTGAAGAATGCAGAAGCCTAAGAAGCTGATGCAATCAACTGGAAGAAAGGGTATCAGCAATGGAAGATGAAATGAATGAAATGAAGTGAGAAGGGAAGTTTAGAGAAAAAAGAATAAAAAGAAATGAGCAAAGCCTCCAAGAAATATGGGACTATGTGAAAAGACCAAATCTACGTCTGATTGGTGTACCTGAAAGTGATGGGGAGAATGGAACCAAGTTGGCAAACACTGCAGGATATTATCCAGGAGAACCTCCCCAATCTAGCAAGGCAGGCCAACGTTCAGATTCAGGAAGTACAGAGAACGCCACAAAGATACTCCTATAGAAGAGCAACTGCAAGACACTTAATTGTCAGATTCACCAAAGTTGAAATGAAGGAAAAAATGTTAAGGGCAGCCAGAGAGAAAGGTCGGGTTACCCTCAAAGGGAAGCCCATCAGACTAACAGCGGATCTCTTGGCAGAAACCCTACAAGCCAGAAGAGAGTGGGGGCCAATATTCAACATTCTTAAAGAAAAGAATTTTCAACCCAGAATTTCATATCCAACCAAACCAAGCTTCACAAGTGAAGGAGAAATAAAATACTTTACAGACAAGCAAATGCTGAGAGATTTTGTCACCACTAAGCCTGCCCTAAAAGAGCTCCTGAAGGAAGCACTAAACATGGAAAGGAACAACTGGTACCAGCCGCTGCAAAATCATGCCAAAATGTAAAGACCATCGAGACTAGGAAGAAACTGCATCAACTAACAAGCAAAATAACCAGCTAACATCATAATGACAGGATCAAATTCACACATAACAATATTAACTTTAAATGTAAATGGACTAAATGCTCCAATTAAAAGACACAGACTGGCAAGTTGGATAAAGAGTCAAGACCCATCAGTGTGCTGTATTCAGGAAACCCATCTCACATGCAGAGATACACATAGGCTCAAAATAAAAGGATGGAGGAAGATCTACCAAGCAAATGGAAAACAAAAAAAGACAGGGGTTGCAATCCTAGTCTCTGATACAACAGAATTTAAACCAACAAAGATCAAAAGACACAAAGAAGGCCATTACATAATGGTAAAGGGATCAATTCAACAAGAAGAGCTAACTATCCTAAATATATATGCACCCAATACAGGAGCACCCAGATTCATAAAGCAAGTCCTGAGTGACCTACAAAGAGACTTAGACTCCCACACAATAATAATGGGAGACTTTAACACCCCACTGTCAACATTAGACAGATCAACAAGACAGAAAGTCAACAAGGATACCCAGGAATTGAACTCAGCTCCACACCAAGCGGACCTAATAGACATCTACAGAACTCTCCACCCCAAATCAACAGAATATACATTTTTTTCAGCACCGAACCACACCTATTCCAAAATTGACCACAAAGTTGGAAGTAAAGCTCTCCTCAGCAAATGTAAAATAACAGAGATTATAACAAACTATCTCTCAGAACACAGTGTAATCAAACTAGAACTCAGGATTAAGAATCTCACTCAAAACCGCTCAGCTACATGGAAACTGAACAACCTGCTCCTGAATGACTACTGGGTACATAACGAAATGAAGGCAGAAATAAAGATGTTCTTTGAAACCAACGAGAACAAAGACACAACATACCAGAATCTCTGGGATGCATTCAAAGCCGTGTGTAGAGGGAAATTTATAGCACTAAATGCCCACAAGAGAAAGCAGGAAAGATCCAAAATTGACCCCCTAACATCACAATTAAAAGAACTAGAAAAGCAAGAGCAAACACATTCAAAAGCTAGCAGAAGGCAAGAAATAACTAAAATCAGAGCAGAACTGAAGGAAATAGAGACACAAAAAACCCTTCAAAAAATTAATTAATCCAGGAGCTGGTTTTTTGAAAGGATCAACAAAATTGATAGACCGCTAGCAAGACTAATAAAGAAAAAAAGAGAGAAGAATCAAATAGACGCAATAAAAAATGATAAAGGGGATATCACCACCGATCCCACAGAAATACAAACTACCATCAGAGAATACTACAAACACCTCTACGCAAATAAACTAGAAAATCTAGAAGAAATGGATAAATTCCTCGACACATACACTCTCCCAAGACTAAACCAGGAAGAAGTTGAATCTCTGAATAGACCAATAACAGGATCTGAAATTGTGGCAATAATCAATAGTTTACCAACCAAAAAGAGTCCAGGACCAGATGGATTCACAGCCGAATTCTACCAGAGGTATAAGGAGAAGCTGGTACCATTCCTTCTGAAACTATTCCAATCAATAGAAAAAGAGGGAATCCTCCCTAACTCATTTTATGAGGCCAGCATCATTCTGATACCAAAGCCTGGCAGAGACACAACCAAAAAAGAGAATTTTAGACCAATATCCTTGATGAACATTGATGCAGAAATCCGCAATAAAATACTGGCAAAACGAATCCAGCAGCACATCAAAAAGCTTATCCACCATGATCAAGTGGGCTTCATCCCTGGGATGCAAGGCTGGTTCAATATACACAAATCAGTAAATGTAATCCAGCATATAAAGAGAGCCAAAGACAAAAACCACATGATTATCTCAATAGATGCAGAAAAAGCCTTTGACAAAATTCAACAACCCTTCATGCTAAAAACTCTCAATAAATTAGGTATTCATGGGATGTATTTCAAAATAATAAGAGCTATCTATGACAAACCCACAGCCAATATCATACTGAATGGCCAAAAACTGGAAGCATTCCCTTTGAAAACGGGCACAAGACAGGGATGCCCTCTCTCACCACTCCTATTCAACCTAGTGTTGGAAGTTCTGGCCAGGGCAATTAGGCAGGAGAAGGAAATAAATGGTATTCAATTAGGAAAAGAGGAAGTCAAATTGTCTCTGTTTGCAGACGACATGATTGTATATCTAGAAAACCCCATTGTCTCAGCCCAAAATCTCCTTAAGCTGATAAGCAACTTCAGCAAAGTCTCAGGATACAAAATCAATGTGCAAAAATCACAAGCATTCTTATACAACAATAACAGACAAACAGAGAGCCAAATCATGAGTGAAATCCCATTCACAATTGCTTCAAAGGAATAAAATACCTAGGAATCCAACTTACAAGGGATGTGAAGGACCTCTTCAAGGAGAACTACAAACCACTGCTCAAGGAAATAAAAAAGGATACAAACAAATGGAAGAACATTCCATGCTCATGGGTAGGAAGAATCAATATCATGAAAATGGCCATACTGCCCAAGGTAATTTACAGATTCAATGCCATCCCCATCAAGCTACCAATGACTTTCTTCACAGAATTGGAAAAAACTACTTTCAAGTTCATATGGAACCAAAAAAGAGCCCACATCGCCAAGTCAATCCTAAGCCAAAAGAACAAAGCTGGAGGCATCACACTACCTGACTTCAAACTATACTACAAGGCTACAGTAACCAAAACAGCATGGCACTGGTACCAAAACAGAGATATAGATCAATGGAACAGAACAGAGCCCTCAGAAATAACGCCGCATATCTACAACTATCTGATCTTTGACAAACCTGACAAAAACAAGCAATGGGGAAAGGATTCCCTATTTAATAAATGGTGCTGGGAAAACTGGCTAGCCATATGTAGAAAGCTGAAACTGGATCCCTTCCTTACACCTTATACAAAAATCAATTCAAGATGGATTAAAGACTTAAACTTTAGACCTAAAACCATAAAAACCCTAGAAGAAAACCTAGGCATTACCATTCAGGACATAGGCATGGGCAAGGACTTCATGTCCAAAACACCAAAAGCAATGGCAACAAAAGCCAAAATTGACAAATGGGATCTAATTAAACTAAAGAGCTTCTGCACAGCAAAAGAAACTACCATCAGAGTGAACAGGCAACCTACAAAATGGGAGAAAATTTTCGCAACCTACTCATCTGACAAAGGGCTAATATCCAGAATCTACAATGAACTCAAACAAATTTACAAGAAAAAAACAAACAACCCCATCAAAAAGTGGGCGAAGGATATGAACAGACACTTCTCAAAAGAAGACATTTATGCAGCCAAAAACACATGAAAAAATGCTCATCATCACTGGCCATCAGAGAAATGCAAATCAAAACCACAATGAGATACCATCTCATACCAGTTAGAATGGCAATCATTAAAAAGTCAGGAAACAACAGGTGCTGGAGAGGATGTGGAGAAATAGGAACACTTTTACACTGTTGGTGGGACTGTCAACTAGTTCAAGTATTGTGGAAGTCAGTGTGGCGATTCCTCAGGGATCTAGAACTAGAAATACCATTTGACCCAGCCATCCCATTACTGGGTATATACCCAAAAGACTATAAATCATGCTGCTATAAAGACACATGCACACATATGTTTATTGCAGCATTATTCACAATAGCAAAGACTTGGAAGCAACCCAAATGTCCAACAATGATAGACTAGATTAAGAAAATGTGGCACATATACCCCATGGAATACTATGCAGCCATAAAAAAGGATGAGTTCATGTCCTTTTTAGGGACATGGATGAAATTGGAAGTCATCATTCTCAGTAAACTATCGCAAGAACAAAAAACCAAACACCGCATATTCTCACTCATAGGTGGGAATTGAACAATGAGATCACATGGACACAGGAAGGGGAATATCACACTCTGGGGACTGTGGTGGGGTGGGGGGAGCGGGGAGGGATAGCATTGGGAGATATACCTAATGCTAGAGACGAGTTAGTAGTTGCAGTGCACCAGCATGGCACATGTATACATATGTAACTAACCTGCACAATGTGCACATGTACACTAAAACTTAAAGTATAATAAAAAAAATCCAAAAAAAAAAAGTAAACGTTAATACCCTTATACTTCTCCATCAGAGCTCTTGGATAACTAGACACTTTCTCAATGAGCAGTAGTATTTTGAAAGAAATCTTATTTATGAGCAGTAGGTCTCAACAATGGACTTAAAATATTCAGGAAACCATGACAAATATTCAATAAACAGATGTGCTGTCATCCAGGCTTTGTTGCTCCATTTCTATAGCAAAGGCAGAGTAGATTTAACACTATCTTTTAGAGCTCTAAGATTTTCAATATGACAAATGAGCATTGGATTCAACTTAAAGTCACCGGCTCCATTGGCCCTCAACAAGAGTGTCAGGTTGTCTTTGAAGCCAATAGCCAGTCATTGACATCTCTCTCTACATATCCCAGATGGCATCTTCTTCCAATATAAGGTTGTTTTGTCGGCATTGAAAAATCTGTGTTTTAGTTTAGCCATTTTTATCAATAATCTCAGCTAGATATTCTGGATAACTTGCTTCAGCTTCTTTATCAGCACTTGCTGCTTCACCTTGCACTTCCATGTTATGGTGATGGCTTCTTTCCTTAACCTCACAAGCCAAACTCTGCTACCTTCAGACTTTTTTTATGCAGCTTTCTCACCTATCTCAGGCTTCATAAAATTGAAGAGCATTAGGATCTTATGGATTAGGCTTTGGTTTAAGGGAAGGTTGTGGCTGGATTGATCTTCAGTGCAGACCACAAATAGTTTCTCTGTTTTGGAATTAGGGCTGTTTTGTTTTCTTGTCATTCATGGAGTAATACTTTTAATGCTTTCTTCATGCTTTCCTTGCTAATTTTAATAATTTCTGATTTTTTATTTAAAATGAGAAACATGTAACTCTTTCACTTGAACATTTAGAGACGATTGTAGTGTTATTAATTTTAATATTGGCCTAACTGAAATTCAATATTGGTCTAATTTCAATTGTTGTATTACAGGCAATAGAAGGCCAAGGAGAAAGAGAGAGCCAGGGAAACAGGCTGCTCAGTGGAACAGTCAGAATACAAACATCATTTATCTATTAGTTTTGTTGTCTTACACGGGCTTTGTTTGTGGCAACCCAAAACAATTACAATAGTAACATCAAAGATCACTGATCACAAATCACCATAACAGATATAATAATAATGAAAAAGTTTGAAATACTGTGAGAATTACTGAAACGTGGCAGAAAGATACAATGTGAGCACAAGCTGGAAAAATGGTGCCAATTGACTTGTTCACTATAGGGTTGCCACAAACCTTCAATTTGTAAAGAATGCAGTATCTGCAAAGTGCAATAAAGCAAGACATGATAAAATGAGAGAGTTATGCCTGTAATGGCCTTTTGTGTGTATTAAAAGCTGAAGAATTTATTTAAATATTCAAAAATAAATAAATAAATATTCAAAAAACTAAGTACAAATGTCTACTTCTAATGTATGACTATAGCAAATCTTCCTTAGAACTATAAATGTAATTTTCTCCAGGACTGCTTCAAGTTCACTTAGTTTTCAGCCTGATTGAATTCTTCATTCTCAGAGAAGCTAAGTGCTAGTGTCTTCTTAGTATAAGATAATAGGATTTCTCCCTAAAATCTCTGCATTTGCTATGGATCTCATAACAAAACACCAGAAACTGAATGTCTTAAACAATAGAAATGTATTGCCTCATCTATGGGTTCTAGAAGTCTGAGATCAAGATGTAGTCAGGATTACTTCCTTCTAAGAGCTGTGAGGAGAAATCTGCTCCATGCATTTTTCCTAACTTCTGGTGGTTTGCTGGCAAACTTTAATATGCCTTGGCATGTGCATACATTACCTCACTCCCTGCTTCCATCTTCACATGGCATTTTCCCTGTATGTTTATCTGTGTCCAAATTGTCCCTTATTATAAGGACACACTCACACTGGATTAGAGCCTAACTTAATGACCCCATCTAGCTTTATTATCTGCAAATATTCTATTTTTGAATAAGGTCACATTCAAGGTACTTGGGGCTAGGACTTCAACGTCTTTTAGAGGGAACACAATTCAACCCAGAAACTTTCCTTACGTTTTAAGACTAGCAATTTCCAGAGATTTCAGTTTCCCTTGTGTCAGAGGTTTCTATCATATTTTTGAGCCTCAGCACCCCCAAAGTGTGGTCACTAATAGGATTCTTATTTGATAGACATATTGATAATGATTAATAGTTGGTAAATAGGTGCTTCAGAAAATCAAGGGAAACTCACCTCAACTCAGAGTAAAAATATACTTATTAGCAATTCTCCAAAGGATCCAAACTGATCATGCACTCAGCAAAATTACCTTCTTAAGAAGAAAGCCCTTAGAGTGACCAAAATTGGAAATGAGGAAAACAATTGCAAAGTATTAGTTCAAGAAAATTAATCTGAACTCCTTTGATAACAAATGGCAGAAACCCAATTTACATTGGCTTATATGGAGAGGGGAAGAGGCGGCAGTGATGATATTTATTGGCTTATGTAAGTTAAAGATTCAAGACTTGAGAATAGCTGGATCTAGCAGCTGAGTAGTTCTCATTACACCTCTCTCCCATTTCTTTTCCCTGCAATTCTCTGTGATGGGTATACTGAGGGTTTCTCAATCTCAGCACTGCCAACACTTTGGGATAGCTGATTTCCTATTGTGATGAGTTGTTTGGTATAGGATGCCCAGCAGCACCTCTGACTTCTACCCACCAGATACCAGTGGCACCCTCTCCCAAACTGTAACAACCCAAAATGCCTTCAACACTGCCAAACATCCCACAGGGGGCAAAACTTCCTGTTATCTCTATATAGTGGCCTCTGAAAACCATTCAACTTGTAGTAAAACAATTGATTTATAATTCCTACATCAAGAGAAGGGTTTCTTTTCCAATGGTCTAATAACAATCCTAGGCCTAATGTCCATAATCCAATGTTTAATATATTTAATCATAATTAAAATAATTTTACATTGATAATATTTATATAGATGGGCATAAGACAGGGACCCAGGATGCTGTGATAGTCTACACAAATATAATATACCTGTTTTCCATGCTGGATGGAGACTTTATGCTAATTTCCATAGACTTCTATCAATTTATGTGAAGGATTCTTTTTATATTAGTTGTTAAATTTCTTCTTAGAATTTTGACCTTTACCTAAATTATTGGTATTTATAACATTTGCAACCTTCAGGAGTGTTATCTACTTTATACAAATTTTGGTCTGCAATACCAGTTCTACTCTCATATCACTGACCCAAACTTAGTCACATGTAACACCTAGGAATAAGCAACACTGGAAAAGTAAGTTCTATCTGAATCACATGTGCCAGAAAAAAAAAAAAAAAAAACTCTTGCGGAGTTCTATTAGTAAAAAGAAGATGGGAAAATGGATATCAGAGGAAAATTAATAGCTTCTATCATGACCTGGTACTAACTAAAGAGCAATTGGAGGAGGAAAATGTAAACTTAGAACTCATGAGGAAAAGAAAACGGAAAGTATATTAAGAATATATTTATTTGCTAAATGTTTTATACCGAGCCATACAAAAATTGTTATTGATATCATTTTATATGTAGGAAAGCTAAGAGTCAAAGAAATTAAATATCTTTCCCAAAGACACAGTGTCATAAATAGCAAAGTATGGTTTCAAATCCCAGATTGTCAAAATTGATGCTCTTCATTAACCTACAACATATAGTGGCAGTTCCTCTACTTGGCATGTGTCAGAGTGGACTCACAGGTCAAATGTAAAATGAGGGAAGTTGTTGACATCCAGTTAAAGACATGAAAATTCAAGTCCTACAATTTTTTAAATCTGCATTTTCTTACCCAACAGAATTATATAAAAATGTAACTTTAAAAGATTTGGTGTTGAATCTAAATATCTAATCCATTTTTTCCACTTTACAATAGAGAAAACTCAGACCAACCATCATGGTTAAAAGCTTTGTCTATCACCTTTTGTGGTCTTTTCCATATACGATGTGTCAGAGAGTCACTTAGTCCTGAAGTTCCTGCTGTCATGGAGCTGACAGTGCAATGGAGGAAAGAAAGCTATAGCAACCCAGTACAACACTATTTGAAAAGTCTTCTAAGCTTGCAGCGATGGGCCAGGTATAATCAGTGCCCAGAGGAGGAAGTCAGATGAGGAGTTACTGTGTAGAGATTAAAACCCAGATCTTCTCCACTACAAGACTTGAAACCCAGTGTGTGGGAATATTCAGAAGAGATGTAAGGAGGATAAGTTTGCTTGCACCCTAATCTAAGGATGGGTATAATTCTTGACTAGCCAACTATCTGGAAAGTAGTTTTTATTGTTCTTCAAAAATATAATTTACATTTTAGAGCTCAGGAGCCAAATGCTTACTATAAACTGGTGCAAAACTGATTTATTAAAAGGCAGAATTCAGGGACATTTGCTCTCTACAGACCCAAAATTACAATTTCTGTTTTATGTTCTCCATAAATTATATGCAGTATTCTAGTGTTAAGATCTGAAACTGGAATAAAACCAACCAGAATTTACTTCCCAGTTCTACCTTTATTAGAAATAGTTACTCTTTGGCAAATTACTCAACATCCTCACACCTGGCATTTCACAAGTAAAGTAGGGTTAACAGTCCCTGCCTCACCTGTTGCTGAGAGCATGAAATTAGATACGCCACAGGTGAAGTACTCAACACACTGCCAGACGCTAGGTAAGCACTCAACAAAGGTTGCTTGTAACTTGTACAAGTTTTTCTTATGTTTTTTCTAGTTTTCATTCATTTTTTTGAGCAATTCTATTATCCCACTATGCATGAATGAAAGGGGAGGTTGAATTTCTAAGTTCTCAATCATTATACAAGTCCCTTTGAGCACTGTCTAGCTAGCCTCATGTTCCTGATCACAAGACAGTCTAACAATCTATCTAGATCAGGTGAGCTAGCATCTGGATGCATTCATACATTTATCCATTCAACAAATCCATAAATAATTATTGAGCATTAACCAGAAAGAGATCTTGGTGCATGAAATACATCAATAAATAAAACAGACAACAGAAAAGTAAACAAGTATATAATTAAAGAAGATAATTTCTTGGATACTGACAAGGGTAATGAATAGAGTGCTCTGTAAGAGCAAAATGAGGGAGATATTCTTTAGAAATGAAGAAAAGCTGGTATGCGGAGGTGACATTTGAAATGAGACTGGTCAGGGCAATCTAGGCCATTTTAAAAAAAATCAAAAGAAAGCATTCCACACAAAGGAACAGCAAGCACAAAGGCTCTGAGACAGGAACAAGGTTGATACATTTGAAAGGAAAAAAATAGCATTGTGAGGCCTTCCAGTTTCTGGCCAGGCATGTAAGGAGCTTGGAAGTCATCACTCCATCCTAACAAATAAAATGCTGAACGGACTAAAAACTCAACAACTCTTAGCTGTCAGAGAAATGAGGTCACGGTGCAACCCATTACCTCCAAAACTGGGAAGACAGAGAGGTGAATATAGAGAATCACAACTTACCAGAGCAGAAACCTCCAAGAGAACAAGTGCTGGGGTAGGAAAATCTAAACTATAATTTATGTATTGCTGGAGGCTCAGTATGGACGACTCTGAGTGGGTACAAACTCCAGAGGAATACAGTCAAGAAAGGAGAAAGGAAGTCTCGCTTTTGCAAATTCTCCCACCTGGAGCTCTACCACATTCTCATTGGAAGTATCACAAAAAATCCCCTTGCACTTCCTGGGAGAGGGGAGAAGGACCAATTTTCAAATAAACCAGATCATTCTGTTCTCCTTAACAAGGTCTTCCCTCAGATGAAACTATTTAACCAGAGCTGCACCTGCTGGATTTTATCAAGGTCTAACTGATCTGGGAAAAAGCAAATATCCAGCTCCAGTTCCCTTTAGACTTCTCCATGGGAGAAGGGACATACTCAACTCCAGTCCCCCACCGCCAGCCATCCTGTCCCATTTGTAAAATTCACAGTTCAGAGGGTCACCAGCTAACTAAAAGACTGAAACCTAATCCCAGAACTATAGAATGCACCCCTGGCTCCCCTGGCTCCCCTCACACCTTACCACTATGATAAAAAGGATCATTTACGGCAGTTCTTTTTACCCAGTATATTATGCCAGTCTACCAAGGAAACATTCACAAAGCATACAAAAAAAAAGCAAAAACAAAAGCATGGGTTGAAAAGAGAGCAAGTACTAGAACTAAGGGCTCTAATTGATGGATAAAGTAGACAGCGTGCACCAACAGGTGGGCAATGTAAGCAAAGAGATGGAAATCAAAGAAAGAACCAAAAAGAAACGTTAAAGCTCAAATGAAGAATGTCTTTGATGGGCTCATTAGTAGACTCAACATGGCTAACAAAAGAATCTCTGAGCTTGAGAATATTTCAACAGAAACCTCAGACACAAAAAAGCAAAGAGAAAAAAGACTGAAAACAAAAAACCTATCCAAGAACTGTGGGACAACTGTACAAGTTGTAAATAAATGTAATAAGGATACTAGGAGAACAAAAAGAGAAAGGACAGAAGAAATATTTGAGGTAATAATGACTGAGAATTTCTCCAAATTAATGTCAGACACCATACCACAGATCCAGAAAGCTCAGAGAACACTAAGCAGGATAAATGCCAGAAAAAAAAATACATCTAAGCATATTATCTTCAAATTGAAGAACACTAAAAAGAAAATCTTGAATGAGGCCAGAAGAAAAAACACCTTACCTATAGAAAAGCAAAAATAAAAATTACATCTGACTTCTCTTCAGAAACTGTACAAATAAATAAAGTGGAGTGAAATATTTAAAGTGTTGAGACAAAAAAAAACCTAAAATTTTGTACTCTGAAAAATTATATCCTTAAAACATAAAGGAGAAATACAGACATTCTTGAATAAATACAAATTGATAAAATTTGTTGCCAGTAAACCTGTTTTGCAAGAAATGTTAAAATAAATTGTGTAGAGAGAAGGAAAATGATATAGGTCAGAAACTTGGATACACATAAAGGAGGGAAGAGAATCCAAGAAGGAATAAGTAAAGGCAAAATATAAACTTATTTTTCTTATTCTTAATTGATCTAACAGATAACAGTTTATTCAAAATAATAATAGTACGATTTTTAAAAAATGACATAGGGATACGATGTAGGACGGACTTGTGGCTCCCACTCAGACAGAGCAGTGTGAAAACACATACTGTGAACTTTTGCTCCAAGAACTACTACAGGAACATATCAGGAAAGCTGAGAAAATCCACAGGCCCTTTGAAGGAGGTGGATGGCCACTGCAGCCTCCATGGGACACCCAAGGAACTGTGAGTCTGCTTGCTTTCTAAGCTGGGAGGGTTGCAGCCTGTGCGGCAGGTTCTCAGCCCTGCTCACCAACTGCCTCGAAATAAAATCCATGCTGTTGTGGGGTCACAGTGGGAGTGAGGCCAACCTTTCAGGCTATAGGCTCTGTGAAAGCTGGGTGAGACTGTGGCTGTTGGTTTTCCCCCAATTCCCTGGCATCCTATGTAATACTACAGAGGCAGTCATAATCACCCTGGGAACATAAATCCATTGGCCTGGGAACCACACCCCATCCCCTACAGCAGCTGCAGAAAGCTGCACCCAAGGAGAGTCTGAGCTCAAACACACCTAACCCTGCCCCCACCTGATGGTCTTTCTCTACCCACCCTGGTTGCCAAAGACAAAGTAGATAATCTCTTAAGAGCTCTATGGCCCTGCCCACTGCCTGAGAAACCTGAATACTTACACAATGGCAACCCTAGGGAAATCTTGTATCCTCCCTGTGCTACCACAGCTGATGCACTCTTGAAAGTGCCACCTCCTGGCTGGAGGCCAACAAATACAAAAAAAGCACACTTAACAAAAATACAACCAAGGATGCTCACAGAATCCACTTCATTCCCATGCTATCTCCACCAGAGCAGGTACTGGTATCCACAGCTGAGAGACCTGAAAATGGATCACATCACATGCCTCTTTGTAGATGCTCTCCAGTACCAGCCCAGAGCCTGGTAGCTTTGCTGGGTGGCTAGACCTAGAAGAGAAATGAGTCACTGCAGTTCAGCTCTCAGGAAGCCTCATCCCTAGGGAGTGGGGAGAGCATCACATCAATGGATCACCCCGTGGGACAAAAGAATCTAAACAGTAGCCCTTGAGCTCCAGATCTTTCCAATGAAACAGCCTACCCAAATGAGAAGGAAACACAAAATTATTCTGCTTATATGACAAAACAAGGTTCTTTAACACCCCCAAAAGATCACACTAACTTACCAGTAATGGATCCAAACCAAGATGAATTCTCTGAACTGCCAGAAAAAGAATTCAGAAGGTCAATTATTAAGCTAATCAAGGAGACACCAGAGAAAGGTGAAGTTCAACTTAAAGAATCAAAAAAAATGATACAGGATATGAAAGGAAAATATCTCCAGAGAAATAGATAGCATAGATAAAAAACAATCGCAACTTCTGTAGATGAAAGATACATTTAGAGAAATGCAAAATACACTGGAAAGTCTCAGCAATAGAATCAAACAAGTAGAAGAAAGTACTTCGGGGCTCAAAAACAAGGCTTTCAAATTAACCCAATCTGACAAAGACAAAGAAAAACAATTTTTTTTAATGAACACAGCCTCCAAAAAATTTGAGATTATGTTAAACAACCAGATCCAAGAATAACTGGTGTTCCTGAGGTAAAAGAGAAATCTAAAGTTTGGAAAACATATTTGAGGGAATAATCAAGGAAAACTTGCCCAACCTTCCTAGAGATCTAGACATCCAAATACAAGAAGCTCAAAGAACACCTAGGAAATTCATTGCAAAAAGATTATTGCCTACGCACATAGTTATCAGATTATCTAAAGTCAAGACAAAGGAAAAAATCTTAAAAGCAGTGAGTCAAAAGCATCAGGTGACCTAAAAAGGAACATCTATCAGATTAACAGCAGATCTCTCAGCAGAAACCCTACAAACTAGAAGGTATTGGGGTCTTATTTTCAGCCTCCTTAAACAAAACAATTATCAGCCAGTATTTTTGTATTCAGTAAAACTAAGCTTCATAAAGGAAAGATACAGTCTTTTCCAGAAAACAAATGTCAAGAGACCTTGCCACAACCAAGTCAGCACTGTAAGAGCTACTAAAAGGAGCTCTAAACCTTAAAACAAATTCTCAAAATACATCAAAATAGAATCTCTTTAAAGCATAGATCTCACAAGACCTATAAAACAACACAGTAAAAAAAAGAACATGCACACAAGTTACTCAGGCAACAAACAGCACAACAAATAGAATAGTACCTCACATCTCAATATGAACATTGAATGTAAATGACCTAAATGCTCCACTTATAAGAAACAAAATGGCAGAACAGATAAGAATTCACCAACCAAGTGTCTGCTGTCTTCAAGAGACTCACCTAACACATAAAGACCCCCATCAACTTAAGGTAAAAGAGTGAAAAAAGATATTCCATGCAAATGGACACCAAAAGTGAGCAGAAATAGTTATTCTTATATCAGACCAAACAAACTTTAAAGCAACTTTAAAGCAGTTAAAAAACACAAAGAGGGACATTATATAATGTCCTATATTTGGAAGCAAAAGGCCAATATCTACTATCATAAAAATACATGAAATTCAACACATCAAAAAGCCTATCCAACATGATCAAGTGGGCTTCATCCCTGGAATGCAAGGCTGGTTCAACATACGAAAATCAATAAATGTGATCCAGCATATAAACAGAACCAAAGACAAAAACCACATGATTATCTCAATAGATGCAGAAAAGGCCTTTGACAAAATTCAACAACACTTCATGCTAAAAACTCTCAATAAATTAGGTATTGATGGGACGTATCTCAAAATAATAAAAGCTATCTATGACAAACCCACAGCCAATATCACACTGAATGGACAAAAACTGGAAGCATTCCCTTTGAAAACTGGCACAAGACAGTGATGCCCTCTCTCACCACTCCTATTCAACATACTGTTGGAAGTTCTGGCCAGGGCAATCAGGCAGGAGAAGGGAATAAAGGGCATTCCATTAGGAAATGAGGAAGTCAAATTGTCTCTGTTTGCAGATGACATGATTGTATATCTAGAAAACCCCATTGTCTCAGCACAAAATCTTCTTAAGCTGATAAGGAAATTCAGCAAAGTCTCAGGATACAAAATCAATATGCAAAAATCACAAGCATTCTTATACAACAATAACAGACAAACAGAGAGCCACATCATGAGTGAACTCCCATTCACAACTGCTTCAAAGAGAATAAAATACCTAGGAATCCAGCTTACAAGGGATGTGAAGGACCTCTTCAAGGAGAACTACAAACCACTGCTCAAGGAAATAAAAGAGGATACAAACAGATGGAAGAACATTCCATGCTCATGGGTAGGAAAAATCAATATCGTGAAAATGGCCATACTGCCCAAGGTAATTTATAGATTCAATGCCATCCCCATCAAGCTACCAATGACTTTCTTCATAGAATTGGAAAAAACTACTTTCAAGTTCATATGGAACCAAAAAAGAGCCCACATTGCCATGTCAATCCTAAGCCAAAAGAACAAAGCTGGAGGCATCATGCTACCTGACTTCAAACTATACTACGAGGCTACAGTAACCAAAACAGCACAGTACTGGTAACAAAACAGAGATATACACCAATGGAACAGAACAGAGCCCTCAGAAATAATGCCACATATCTACAACTATCTGTTCTTTGACAAACCTGACAAAAACAAGCAATGGGGAAAGGATTCCCTATTTAATAAATGGTGCTGGGAAAACTGGCTAGCCGTATGTAGAAAGCTGAAACTGGATCCCCTCCTTACACCTTATACAAAAATTAATTCAAGATGGATTAAAGACTTACATGTTAGACCTAAAACCATAAAAACCCTAGAAGAAACCCTAGGCAATACCATTCAGGACATAGGCATGGGCAAGGACTTCATGTCTAAAACACGAAAAGCAATGGCAACAAAAGCCAAAATTGACAAATGGGATCTAATTAAACTAGAGAACTTCTGCGCAGCAAAAGAAACTATCATCAGAGTGAACAGGCTACCTACAGAATGGGAAACAATTTTGCAATCTACCTATCTGACAAAGGTCTAATATCCAGAAGCTAAAGGAACTTAAACAAATTTACGAGAAAAAAAAAAAACATCAAAAAGGGGCAAAGGATATGAACAGACAGTTCTCCTAAGAAGATATTTATGTGGCCAACAAACATATGAAAAGAAGCTCAACGTCACTGATCATTGGATAAATGCAAATCAAAACCACAATGAGATACCATCTCATGCCAGTCAGAATGGCGATTATTAAAAAGTCAGGAATTGATAGATGCTGGAGAAATAGAAATGCTTTCATACTTTTGGTGGGAATGTAAATTAGTTCAATCATTGTGGAAGACAATGTGGCAATTCCTCAAGGATCTAGAACCAGAAATACCATTTGACCCAGCAATTCCATTACTGGATATACACCCAAAGGAATATAAATCATTCTACTATAAAGACACATGCACACATATGTTTATTGCAGCACTGTTTACAATAGCAAAGACAATGGAACCAACTCAAATGCCCATCAATGATAAACAGATAAAGAAAATGTGGTACATATACACCATGGAATACTATGCAGCCATAAAAAGGAATGAGATCTTGTCCTTTGCAGGGACATAGATGAAGCTGGAAGCCATCATCCTCAGCAAACTAACACAGGAACAGAAAACCAAATATCACATGTTCTCACTCATAAGTGGGAGTGGAATGATGAGAACACATGGACACAGGGAGGGGAACAACACACAGCGGGGCCAGTCTAGGGGGTGGGAAGCAAGGGGAGGCAGAGCATAGGACAAATAGCTAATGCATGTGGGGCTGAAAACCTAGATGATGGGTTGATAAGTGCAGCAAATCACCATAGCACACGTATACCTATGTAACAAACCTGCACGTTCTGCACTTGTATCCTGGAACTTATTTTTTTTAAAGTAGGCTATTAATAGTTAAGTTATAGATGAATAAAAAGTTATACACAGATTTTCATTTGTGCCCCTAACCTCCATGTCATTCAAGGGTCAATTGTGCTAATTTCAGAAAGAGCAAATTGCACAGCAATGCAAGTTACAAGGAACAAAGAGGATTATTATATAAGGATAAAGGAGTCAATTCTCCAAGAAGACATATCCTTAACATGTATCTACCCCTAACAAAAAAGCATTAAAATGAATCAAAGACCTTAACAGACACCTCACCAAAGAAGGTATACAGATGGATACGCATATGAAGAGATGCTCGACATCATATGTCATCAAGAAAATGCAAATTAAAATAATGAGATACCGCTACATATCCATTAGAATGGCCAAAATCCAAAGCACTGACAACACCGTATGCTAGTGAGGATGTGGAGCAACAGAAACTACTTCATTGATGGTGGGACTGAGAAACGGTATAGCCGCTTTGGAAAACAGTTTACAAAACTAAACATACTGTTTTCAACTCCATTGGGAGCATAATTATAGTTTATTACAGGTAGTATAATTCAGCAGTTGCACACCTTGTTATTTACCCAATGGAGTTGAAAGCTTATGTCCACACGTAATGTGCACATAAATGTTTACAGAAGCTTTATTCATAATCACCAAATTTTAGAATCAAACAAGATGTTCTTCAGCAGGTAAATGGATAAACTGTGTACATCCAGACAATGGAATATTATGCAGTGCTAAAAGAAATGAGCTGTCAAGCCATAAAAGGACAAGAAGGAAAATTAAATGCATGTTACTAAATGAAAAAAGGCCATCTGAAAAGTCTATATACTGTATGATTGCAACTATATGACATTCTGAAAAAGGCAAAACTATGGAGACAGTAAAAGATTAGTGGTTGTCAGGAATTGGGGAAGGGGAGGGACAAAGAGAGCACAAAATATTTTTAGTACAGTAAAATTACTCTGTATGATAATACTATGGTAGATACTTGTCATTATGCGTGTGTCCAAAGCCATAGAATGTACAACACTAGGAGTGAATCCTAGTATAAACTGTGGTGATTGGGTGACAATGATAGGTTAATGTGGATTCATCAATTGTAATAAATGTACCTGTGATTGGGGGATGTTGATAATGGGGGAGATTATGCATGCATGGGGGCAGAAAGTATATGGGAAATCTGTACATCTTCCACTCAATTTTGCTGTAAACCTAAAACTACTCTTTAAAAAAGTATATTTTTAAAGTACCATTGTGAGCCAAAATAATCATGGAGATGAGATTTAAAAATTCAGTAGGATTCAGATTATGCAGGGACATGTAGAATATGGTAAAAAAAAAAAAATTAGTTTGATTCTAAATGTATTTGGAAGTCTTTAGAAGGATTTATTTGTAAAATACCTGGATGTTCTAGTGTTCTGTATTGCTATAATGTCTGCGATTTTGTTTTAGGGGGTCCAGGTCTAAGGGAAGTTTAAGTCCTCTGCTACATTTTCTTATCACTTTTATGGTGATTTAGCACTTATCATTAGCCATAGCATTTAGTTAGACTAAAAGGTTTTCCTTGCGCAATTATGATTGGAATAAAACTGAGGAGAAGGATAACTTCCGAGTAGAAATCGGAAGGTATTTTCTAATTATTTCAGAACCCTCCTTAGCCAAAGGCATGAATGCCTAACAAAAGAAATCTATGATTTACCTCAACAGATCTGTGTGTGTGTCTCTCTTTCACCCCCTTCTATCCCCCTCTCTATCTCATTTCTATATCTCCATAAATAAAAAGTTAATGAAGTAGAAAAGATGCAAAAATAATTTTCACAATATTTATACTTTAAAACAATTATCCCGTGTAGCATGATTATATTCCAATTCTGAATAACAGCAAAGCATTAAAATATCTTGAACCTTCACAAATGTTTCTCCAACTGAGAACACTCTCTTGACCTCTAGAACCAAATTTCCATCTCTCTTTTGCACATCTCCAAATATTATGTCTCACCCTCAGACATCTCAAACTCTATATGCCAAAAATTATTTTTTCCACCAAACTTACTTTTTCTCTTGTCTTCCTAATCCCATTTGATTAAACAAATTCTGGGATACCTCCAATATTTACACATAATCTTATGTGTAAGGAGGAAGAGTCAGTGAAAATCATGGAGAACGAAGGGCCAGTGGAAGAGGTGGAAAAGCAGAAGGAAGCAGTATAATCACAGCACCCTGCTTAGCGCTACAGGGAGCAACACTTACATAGTCATGATCCTGGAAGGCTTACTTTTTCTAGCATTCAAAATCAGCTTCTAGAATGTTTGACTATGGTTACAAGACAATATATAGCTTATTAATCTTGAAAGTATAAATGCCAATTTATAGCAGGTAGACAGTGGAAGATGGACAGGAAAGAAAGGGAGAAAAGACTGAAAATGCTAAAAGCTGCATTTATAAAGTGGGAAGAAATGAAACAGCACTGAGTTAGAAAAAGCAAACTATTCAAAGTATGGATGTAATGAGAAGAATCTGATCAAGAAAAATTCAAAGCCCTTCCAGTGGGGAGTGGGACATAGAAAGGGGAGAAATAAAACAAGGACCTGTTCCTTCTCATTTTAAATCTTTCCATACTGTTTGATTTGAAAAAAAAAAAATCATGTAAAGTCTTTACTTTGATGTAAGTAAAAATTGTAATTTAAACAGTGATTCCAGAGCCTTGGTCAGAGGTGTACAGGGGGGAGAAGAGTAAACTTAAATTAAATTTACAAGGCTGGATAGTCTGACCCAGAAATTCCTCTTCTAGTAATATTCCCTAAAGAAAAAGATTCAGAAATGAGGACAAAGATTTATGTACAAGGATGTTTGCTACAGTATTAATTATAACAGTAAAAAGTTGGAAACTACCTATGTTATAAATATGTGAAAATGATTTAAATAAATCATAATTTATCCATAAATAGAATATTAACCAGCCACTAAATCATTTTTGAGATTGAGATATCTGATAATGTTCATATCACATTTTTGTGCTAAATGAAAATAAAGGATTAAAAAACTGTGTGAGTTGTGTTACATACACACACAAAATTAGATACCCAGCAAATACATGGTCTGAGAACAAGAACATGTGTAGACAAAACTGAATGTTTACTATGAACAAATGCTCCTTAAAGAAATTTTTTAAATTATACTTCTAAAAGAAAGAAAATAGCAGCATGTTTTATAATCCTTTGGGTATATACCCAGTAATGGGATGGCTGGGTCAAATGGTATTTCTAGTTCTAGATCCCTGAGGAATCGCCACACTGACTTCCACAATGGTTGAACTAGTTTACGGTCCCACCAACAGTGTAAAAGTGTTCCTATTTCTCCACATCCTCTCCAGCACCTGTTGTTTCCTGACTTTTTAATGATTGCCATTCTAACTGGTGTGAGATGGTATCTCGTTGTGGTTTTGATTTGCATTTCTCTGATGGCCAGTGGATGATGAGCATTTTTTCATGTGTCTGTTGGCTGCATAAATGTCTTCTTTTGAGAAGTGTCTGTTCATGTCCTTCGCCCACTTGTTGATGGGGTTGTTTGTTTTTTTCTTGTAAATTTGTTTAAGTTCTTTGTAGATTCTGGATATTAGCCCTTTGTCAGATGAGTAGATTGCAAAAATTTTCTCCCATTTTGTAGGTTGCCTGTTCACTCTGATGGTAGTTTCTTTTGCTGTGCAGAAGCTCTTTAATTAGATCCTATTTGTCAATTTTGGCTTTTGCTGCCATTGCTTTTGGTGTTTTAGACATGAAGTCCTTGCCCATGCCTATGTCCTGAATGGTATTGCCTAGGTTTTCTTCTAGGGTTTTTATGGTTTTAGGTCTAACATTTAAGTCTTTAATCCATCTTGAATTAATTTTTGTATAAGGTGTAAGGAAGAGATCCAGTTTCAGCTTTCTACATATGGCTAGCCAGTTTTCCCAGCACCATTTATTAAATAGGGAATCTTTCCCCATTGCATGTTTTTGTCAGGTTTGTCAAAGATCAGATAGCACACGTAGGTTTATTGCGGCACTATTCACAATAGCAAAGACTTGGAAACAACCCAAATGTCCAACAATGATAGACTGGATTAAGAAAATGTGGCACATATACACCATGGAATACTATGCAGCCATAAAAAAGGATGAGTTCGTGTCCTTTGTAGGGACATGGATGAAGCTGGAAACCATCATTCTCAGCAAACTATCGCAAGGACAAAAAACCAAACACCGCATGTTCTCACTCATAGGTGGGAATTGAACAATGAGAACACATGGACACAGGAAGGTGAACATCACACACCGGGGCCTGTTGTGGGGTGGGCGGAGGAGGGAGGGATAGCATTAGGAGATATACCTAATGTTAAATGATGAGTTAATGGGTGCAGCACACCAACATGGCACATGTATACATATATAACAAACCTGCACTTTGTGCACATGTACCCTAAAACTTAAAGTATAATAAAAAAATAAAAATGAAAATAAATAAAATAAAAATAATTAAACAAAAGAAAGAAAATAATTGTTACAGAAAGGAGGTCAAAGAAGAATAAGGAATGATAAACAAGAAAGTGAAAAACATGGAAAAATCTAAATGGATATTTATCCTGGACTTTGAAATATATATAATTAAAATCCTAGGGGTAAAAGAAAATATAATTTGGAAGAGAGAGATGAGTTCAAATGTTCTAAATTCTTTTGAGAAGAAGGCAAAAATATTTAGACATTTTAACATGTACATACTAAAATTTCTAAGCTAATTGCTGAAACGATGTAGAGTTTATAGTTCCCAAAGTGGTACAGAAGCAAAAGTGGGATGAGGGAGGAAGAACAATTTAATTGGGAAAAAGGCAAGGAAGAACTTGCTGCCCATTATAGGAATTCTACACACCTTAGTTATGAAAATAAAATGCTGCCACATGCCCTCTGCTATTCCAGGATCCTAGCAACTCCATTTGTTCCTAAAGACCCCACTACTAGAATAGCATCTCTGCCATATGAACCACTCCCAAGCCTTTCAGCAATCTGTTGACCCTCTTATCACCTTGGAAAATAGAGTAACCATTGGAGCCTCCCAGTGAACACTGTCAGCTAATGGGCCCAACTGAGAGCATGCCCATTGCCTTGAGCCTTTTTTGATTGCTTTCTCCACAATTATTCATGACAGTTTTGTCATCTCCATTTCATTTATGAGAATTGGCTCTTCTTCAAAATACTCAAGAACCATCTCAGCAACATATTAAAGCAATAAACTTGGATCCAGACCAGAGTGTTGAATCCTATCACAGAACAAAGCTCTTGTATTATCATTCTCTCTTAGCCAACTTTATATTCTGCTGCCATCTAACACTCTCAAGGTTAACTCCTCCTTCTTGCCACCTTATATTAACCAGGTACTATAGGATTTTGGGGGTGTATAATCTCTCTCCCTTCGCAGTCCCAGCACTCCCCTAGTTAGCTTATGCTAAGACTTGATATGATCTATAGTCTGGTGGCCAGAGGGGAAGTGAAGTCAGTTTCTGAAATAGGGAGGAGAGGAATTGTCTTACAAAGTATTGGCCTCATTTAAGGAATTTCCATAGTCTTCAATCAAGGAGAGGGCCTGTATTTTCCACAGGGATGTGTGGGCTATTTCTGCAGGTCCAAAGGATTTGGGAAATTTAGAGATTCCCAGTTTCCAAGTGCCTCTATTCAGACATCCTAAGTGTCAGCAGGTCCCACTTCTTCCTTATTAGGATGCTGGTTTTGGCATAAGAGCTTGCCCTGAAGTTCTGTCACTTTACAAATTTACACCTTTTGGAAGAAAATATAAATAATCTCTCATTTTGGAGTGGGCATGGATTCTTAAATAACACAAAAATACCCAGTGCACCCCTGCTTTATTCACTCCTGCTATATGGCAGAGACACTCTTGACAGCAATAACTTAAGCATACCCCTGAGAATGAGCCCGTGATCTAAGAATAATATGTGTTCAGATTTTGAGATAAGGAATCTGGGAGTGACCAATCCAGAAATTCATTCCTTATTTATAAGGAACATCTGAACTTGTGGTCCATCTTGTGGAATGCAGGCCATACAGGGAATCAAGGTTATTGTTTTGGATTAAATGAAGGTTGCCAGGTGGAGGTTGCCAGGGGGAGGGTGCTATGTGAAAATGCTATGTAAATTGTATACTTTTTACAAGTGGTTCAGTTCTCCTGTCCAGCACATTTCCATGGGACTGCCCAGTAAGTTCCCCCAAATAAACCCCGTGTTTCATTTGCTGGCTCTGGGTCTCTTCTTTGATCTCTTAAACCTGGTGCCATCCCTATTGAAGTTAATAGGAGTCTGGCATAACACCTGCTTAGCAACATCAGCAAAGAAAATAATTAAGAAAGCTATGACACTAACAGTGCAGCGTGTTGAGCACTAGCCTCCAAAAAGACGTGATCAGTTCCAATACATCAAACCTGCAAAGGTGACCTTATTTGAAAAAGGGGTCTTCGCAGTTGTAATTAAGTTAAGGATCTTAAGATGAGAATATCCTGGATTTAGCATGGGTCCTAAATCCAATGACTGGTGTCTATATAAGAAGAGAGAGAGGTTAGAGACACAAAGAAATACACAGAAGGCCACATGAAGAGGGAGGCAGAGATTGGAGTAATGCTGCACAAACCAAGAAATGCCTGAGGCCACCAGAAGCTAAAATAGAGTTGTCAACCTAAAAAAAAAAAAAAGAGAACAATTTCTTCTAATATGATGAGTTTATTCAGAAGTAAACAAAAAGGATTATAATTCAGGAGGTATGGGAGGTACAGCAGTGGCAAGCCATAGGCACATCTGAAAAGGGGAGGGTAAATAGAAGCTTTTATTGGCAAAAAGGAGACATTCAGGAAAGGTGCTTAGAAACAGAGTTCATTGGTCCTACAGGGTCAAAGATATAGTTGGCATTAGTTCATTGGTGAAGATGCCATTAGGGGGCAAGTGGTCTTTCCAGAGCATCTTAGCTGAATTGCTGCAGTCCTTAAAAAATAATTTCTTGCAGGGTTATTTTAGAAAGTCCTTGAAACAGTTCTTACCTTACACAGGCAAGCATGAGTTCTCCTCCTTCATGCTTTCCCAGCTCCAATTTGTTTGGGTTTGAAAAAAGTTATTTTATGCTGGTATTTGCAACTTTCACAGGTAATGAAGTGAATTCTCCCCCAGTGCCTCCAGAGAGAACCAACCCAGCCAAAACCTTGATTTCAGATTTGTAGACACCTGAACTGTGAGAGCACGAATAAATTAAGCCACTTCATTTGTGGTAATTCATTACCAAAACCCTAGGAAACTAATCCAGACAGTATTTTAAATAAGCCACTATTGACTGGATTTGTTTTTTTATTCATGTGAATCTGTATATAAATATAAACTACATTATAATCTAATATGAATTTTGACACCTATCCAGGCCACAGACCTTTTTAGAACATACTTACAGAAAAACTGACGCACAGCACAGGTAACAGTTTAGACTTTGTTTAGTTTCAATCCAGAACCTCACAAAATAAGGAATTCTAAGAAAGTTGGCTTTCTAAGGAAAATGCCTTCTATAAAAGCAAAAATGACAAATCTAGGCATAAGAAGTTAGACCCATATGGGAAGAATTCATGCGTCCTCTCCCTGCACCACCCTCAACACATCGTGGAGTAGCACACAGGCCATGAGCAGATGCGAGACACCTGAGCTGTGGGGTCAATTGCTTCATTCTATAACTCTCAGGATGACACAGCTGACTTCCACCCTGGGCATCCTTCTCCATTTAAGCTCTGAGACATAAGGAACACCTTCCTGGAACACACACTCCACTTCTCCCACCGAACATTGGCTTCCCACTGGCGCACAACTTCACTTGTTATATAACCTGTTTGTGTAAGCTCATACTTGGCTTGGTGCCACTATTGTCTATAAAAGGTATAACTGCCCTGATGATGCTTTACGTATGGCTTGTGCCCAGAGGGAGAGAGTGAAGCTACTGACCCTGTAAAGGAAAGCCAGCTTCCTTACAGGCCAGGGAGTGCAGCTGTAAGCATAGGAGCGGCGGGAGCCGCAGAGCAGGCTGCTGAGTGGGGCTGCAGCTGGAGCAGGCAGCCGAGATAAAGGCGAACAGTGTAAGAGAGGTGTTGATGAGAAAGGCACTGAATAAAACCGTATTTTACCTGCCTACAGCCCCCTGAGTGTTCTTTCAGCTATTCAACGCCCATCCACCCACTCCACTTGGACCTCTGCATGGGCTGGAACCTGACCTTTGGCCTAACAGTCAGGAAGAGAGAAGGAGAAACAATACTTTCTAAAAATAGAGAGTGAGTTAAAAGAGAAAGATTAAAACTTTGAAATTGAGAGTGGAACAGGAGAAAAACATCAAGTGGAAAGTAAGAATGAACACATAAATGCAAATAAAGATCAAAGAGTTTCTAAATAATATGAAACAGGTGAAATTAAAGATAAAGGTAAACAGGATTAGTGGGTCAAGGACCATAAAAGTAAAGGACAGAAAAGGTTATTGTTAAAAGCTAAAACCTGTAAGATGAAAAGTAAAAGTTAAAGATGGAATTAAGGATGACAAAATATGAATCTGTGATAAAAACAACGCTCAAATAAAAAAGATTGGAGAAATGTTTGTGATAAAACGCATACAAAATGCTTTATAATTAGATGAATAGATGAGAAAATATTAGAAAGAGGAGGTACAGAAACCACAATGAAGCATGCACAGACAGGGGCCCTCCCCATTCATTGTGCTATCTCATGCCTCTGGGTTTTCGCTGTTTCTACCATGAGAAATACCTTCCTATTTTCTGTACCTGGCTAATGTCTCTATATCATTCAAAACTCACCTCAGGCACCCCTGTCTACCCAAGCTAGGTTAAATATTTCTCTGTGACCCAGCTGAGCCCTGCATGTACCTCTAATCGGTATTTCAGTCTCTTGCCCTGCCTTCTGCAGACACTTACTTTGCATTCTTTGCTGAACAACAAAGTCATATTATAATCTTTTTTCCCTGGAGAAAAATAATAAAAGAAAAAGATTTATCAAATTCTGGGGGTTTTTTGGATTAATCTATTTGGCACGTGTTTCCTGAGTTACTTGGTCTGTTCCAGGCTCTGTGCTAGGATCTGTGAATACAGAGATTAATAAAACTCAATGTCTTTCCTCAAAGAATTAATAATTGAGTTGCGGAGTTACCTTAATAAGCAAAAGTTACACCAGAGTGGCCTCAAATAATGTGAGTTTTACACATTTCAGTTAACTCATCTTGATGTCATATCCACAACTTTAAATCTTTCTGCGCCGGTAATACTTTCATTCTCCATTTTCAAAGCTACATACCTAAGTGGAATTTCGAGTTTCCTTCAGTAAAAATTTTATAACACAGTAACAGCAACAGCAGTCTATTTGAACCATCCTTGGGTAAAGCCTAGCTGGGTGTAATGCAAAACACTCCGTTGCCAGGTACCTTATTTTACCAGGCACTGTTAGGCTGACCTGATTTGCTGGAGTTGCTAAGGGCAAGTAGTTTGTAAATTCTTTTAACAATTTTAAAATACCTTTGCCTCTGAGCACAGGCATAGGTGGCAAAACTCCATAGTTTATCTACATACATAAATTCTGTTTTATGAGATGTTTCTTAGACTTGTTTTGTGACTAAAAGAAAAATCAATAATATAAATTTCAAAAAAAAATGGTTCTGCAAGAAAAATAAAACTCTTCTTCCCCTCAGATTGAAAAAAAGTTTACCAAAAGACTGGAATTGATGAATGGAGCTAACAGATCAGTGCTCACCAACCTGCTTTACATTGTCTTTGGTAGTTTCATTTTTTGCCTAACAAAAAACACTCTTCCCTCCCACGATGGCTTTAATAGAAGAACTATAAATTTCTAATGTAGGAATTTACTTAGGATGGTTATTGGGAAGGTGTACAGAACTTTTTTTTCAAGGTACATTAGTACACCACAACCTCTTTATGCTTTAGGTGATTGGCATCTATCAACATTCATCCTTTTTTGCAAAGAGAGAATTGAGAATAAGATGCATACCCTGGGACTTGGGAGTCAAAAGGCTGGGGCACTCCAGATTCTATGTCTGAGTGGTTTCATTTAGACAAATTGCTCAACCTATCTGTCCCAACTCAAAGTTGGATCTTCCACTTACAGTGCAGCAAATATCGCATGGGATTACATATATAAAACTGTGTAAATCGAGTATCAATACACAAACATAAGAGGAAATAGCCACAGCTGTCACCTGAGTTAAATGGTGAAAAAAACAAACAAACAAAACAGTGCAATTCCCTAGTTCCCTAGTTGGAGCAAACTTTACCCACTGGCACAATAAGATATGACTTCAGGAACCTCAAAAAAGTACTTTTATCCCCAAAATACTATGAAAAAATTGCTGCTTACTAATGACATAAAGTCCTTCACTTGAAGGCAAGGAGAAAGGAAAAGAGAAAGGACATCAAAAGAGAAAGGAAAGGGGGAAGGAAAGGCAAGGTGAAGGGAAAGGGAAGGAAGGAAAGAGAAACCTCTTATTCTGTAATTAGAAATAAAATCAAAATGAAAATGTGAAAACATTTTTGATAATAAAGCTGAATCCAGAACACCCTGGAATAAACAAGATAAATGTATTTAATTGAAATACAAGAAGGAATGAACTAATAATAAGTTAAATAAGGCAAGAAAAAAATTAGCTCGGACCAAGAAAAAGTTCAGTTCGACAACAGGAAGAAGTTATTTATTATAAAAATAAAATTATATATTAAGTTATAGCAATGATGAAAGGCCATCTCATGGTATAAGAACAAGGTAGAAGTAAATTTAGGCTTAGGACAAATCTGACAAGTTTAGAAGATGTAAGACAAAAGAGCCAGCATCATTCATATATGCCAGGCATTATTCCAAGTGCCTTACATGTATTAATTCATTTAAACTTTTAACAACTTGAAGGAGAATGATCACTTTTTACAGATGGAAAAATTAAGGTGTGAAAACTAACATAACTTTGTAAAAACTGTTGTCATTATTTCCTTGAAATACCAGCTGTTATGCTGCTAATATTTCCTATGCCTGTATGATTTTCATTCATCGAATTGGAGATGTTAATCTCAAATTTAATGTTTTGAAAGCTGGATTAATATTTAAGCCAATCAGAAGAGACTGTACAATTTTATTGTCTGGGCCATGGGAGTAAATGAAATCAATAAATTTTCCCTGAATTAACCTTGGGGACAATGAACCACTCCTTGCTTCTGGAAAGAAAGAGGAGGAAAAGGCTACATAAAAATAGTCTCAGACTCCGGGGATGTGGTGTTGTGTTCCAACAACTGAGAATTGTTCTGGATGGTACCCAAACCTAAGCTCACTCCCCAGGTATCCACCTGATGTCAAACACAGCTTTGCTTTAGAAGGAGCCAATACCAATACCATGTGTACCGTGTGCTTTAAAAGTCTTATTACTAGCTTAGGGAATTCAGAATGTTCACATTTGGAGTATGGGAGTGACTAAAGACTATAAATAGCCTCATATCAGAATGGGATAGCTTTGATGTAAAACAGGTTTGCCACACACTTCAGAAAATCCTTTCAGCTTTTGTATTTGAATTGTGAACATGTTCCAGTATTCCTTAGGGCTAAACCAAAGAAAGTGATCTAGTGGAAAGTTATGACCTCCAGGAGACCCATACTAGAATATAAGACTTCCTGAATGGGGCTAATTACTAGAAAGAGTGGCCTCTGGTGAGTTGATTGTGTCCGGTCTCTCAGGAAGTGACCTGTACCACCCAGAACTTCTAGTCAGGTTCTCCCTTTCCTTCTCTTTAGTCAGAACATTTAATTATAACCATGGCACCAAAAACCCACTCTGCACAACAAAGTGCAGTTCAGTGAAAATAACTGTTAATAAACAGCATGGAAAGCATGATCACATTGATATGTAGCATCATTTGATCGTGGAATGCATCAAAAACTCTTTCACAGAGTTGTGAACTAAACTAGCTGTATTAGTTATCTATTGCTATATAACAACGTACTTTGAAATTTAGCAGCTAAAAATGACAAACAATATGTTACACTTTCTATGAGTCAGGAATATGTGTGTACGTGTTGCTCAGCTGGGTATCTCTTGAGTTCTCTCACCAGTTTACAGTCAAGCTGCCTGCTGGGGTTGCAGCCTCTTCTGAAGATCTGAGGAAGGCTGGCTGAGGGGAGAGGTGTCTACTTCTGAGTTCAATCACATGGGTATTGGAAGGCCTCGGTCCCTCACCACTTGAAACATTTCACAGTTGCCTCACAACACAGCAGCTGGCTTCCCTCAGAGCTAGTGACCCAAGAGTAAGAGAGAGCAGGCCTCAAATGGAAGCCATTGGGTTTTTTTTTTCTTTTTGAAAATTAAACACTTTGAGGCAACATCTCATTATCTTTGCCATTTTGTTTTTTAAGGGTGCATCAGTATATCCTGCCATACTCAAAAAAGTAGAGATTATACAAGGGTGGGAATATTAGGAGCTGGGGATCATTTGAAAGTCATCTTAGAGGTGGACAGAGAATTCTGGAACTCAGTAAATATTTAGACACAGTCTTTGTTTAAGAGACCTCACTGTCTGGTTTTAAAAAAAATACCTAGTATATACCACTTCCTAATGGTTAAAGTAACTCCTTTGTATTTCTTCATGTAGAATAAGGACAATCATATTGTGATGAGACTATTCTCCAGAAAATTTGCAACTTTCTCCCACTTGTTTTTTTCCTGATATGAAACCAGTCAACATTATATTCAATACCACTGAGAAAGTGATCCTGGGAAGGAACACAGTAATAGAAAGCAACAGATTTATGACTAAAGTTTGTAATAGTATGCAGCCAAATTCCTGAGCATAGATCTTGTAGGAAAGTAAAAATTGAACTAGAGCAGTAAGAAGTAAATATTGGTTTTGAGCATGTAATGAGTCCTTATTTCTCTCTTTTTCTTAAGACTGATGATTTAATATAATTTTTTAGAGTAAATTTACTTTGCTACAAAAAGAACACTGTAAATAAACAACTAGAAAAAGTCTGGATGAATTGACAACATTAACCATAATTCTGTCTAAATTGTGATGTTATAGGTAAGTTTATTTTCTCCTAAGTCTTTTATATTTTCTAAAATTTTTACTACATAAAAGTATACTTTCATGCTACATATTGATTATTGTGATGAAACAAGAGGAAGAGAAAACTCTAGAATAAAAATTTTGCCAAAAATAGATGTTTTCCCACTGAACTTTATCATCCATTTCTAGGCAAATGTTATTCTTTATTTCTTAATATTGAAGACTGTGGTGTCTACATGAAATATATGGCAGCATAACTCATGATCTCTCCTCCCACACCTCACCACATAGATTTAGTGCGTGTACTCCCTCACATAGTTAGTGTCTATTGTGCCTCCTTTTTCTTATGTGGAACACTAGACACTTACATAAAAATGTAAAAGGCATGGACCCTGTCCTTGTGATGTCCATAATCCATTCGAGTTGACAGACTTATAAACCAAGAGTTAAAATACAGGGTACTAAATGTTTTAATTGAGGTATGTACAATTATATACCTCTAAGCTCAGAGAATAGAGATTCTAAATTTGTCTGGAATGCAGCAAGGTTTCATAGAGAATAGGATATAATCATATTACTAATCTTCCTGTAATTGAAGTATAAGTTTCCTCTATCTTGAGTCAGATGGGAGGGAAATAGCTTGTGCGAAGGTATGGAAATTAGAGACAGCATGACATGAAGAGAAAGCAAGTCATTTTTTGTGTGATTTGAGTCTAATGAGAGTGTGTTTGAGGAAGAATGAAGGCTAAAAGTGGAGGAAAGTGGGATAAAATCTTTACAAAACACAAATCAGATAAAGAAATGGTATCTAAAGTATATAAAGAATAGTTAAAATTCAACTAAAGAAAACAAGCAACTCAATTTAAAAATGAGCAAAGGATCTAAATAGATGCCTCATCAGAGAAGACACACAGATGGCACATAAGCATATGGAAAGATACTCAACATCATATGTCACTAAAAATGCAAATTAAAACAAGATACCACTACACCTATTAGAATGGCTGAAATCCAAACACTGACAACACCAAATGCTGGCAAGGATGTGGAGCAAAAGGAACTTTTACTCATTGCTCATGGAAATACGAGAGGTACAGCCACTTTGGAAGATACTATAGCAGTTTCTTACAAAATGAAACATAATCTTACCATGTGATCCAATCATACTCCTTGGTATGTATCCACATGAGCTGCAAATGTACATAAACTCCAAAATCTGCACATGAATTTTTATACCAACTTTATTCATGATTGCCAAAACTTGGAAGCAACCAAGATGTCCTTCAATAGGAAAATAAATTTAAAAACTTGTATATTCACACAATGGACTATTATTCAATGATTAAGAAGAGATGCACTAACATGCCACCAAAGGACATGGAAGAACCTTAAATACATATTGCTAAGTGAAAAAAAAAGCCAATCTGAAAAGCTTTCTATCATTTGATTCCAACTATATGACCTTCTGGAAAAGGCAAAACTATGGAGATAGTTAGATCAGGGGTTGTCGGGGTTTATGGAGAGGGAGGATAATGATATTTAAGGGCAGTGAAACTATAATTCTGTATGACACTATAATGGTGGATACATGTCATTATATATTTGTTGAATTCCATAGAATGCAAACAGAAAGAATAAATCCTAATGTGAATGATGAAATTCAATTAATAATATGTCAATACTGGCTCATCAATTGTGACATACGTACCACACCAATGCAAGATATTAAAAAATAGGCAATATTGGTGGGGGAAGAGGGGTATATGAAGTGCTCTCTGTAGTTTTTACTCAATTTTTCTATAAACCAAAAACTGCTCAAAAAATTAATAAAGTCTATTAATTTTATTAATTTTTTTAAGTGGAAGAAAATGATGAAGAGAGAGATTGGTGTTGATATATAAGAAGCTTCATAAGCTATTGTTACGGTCACTTGTTTCTATGTAACCAACCACTCCAAACTTGATGTCTCGGAAGCAAAGTTATTTCACAATCTCTGAGTTATATAATCGGCAAGACTCAACTGGCTCAAAGTCACATGGTGATATTCAGCTGGTAGCTAGGCTGCAAAAGAGGATCAAAGGCTGCTTCTTTTATATATCTGGCACCTTGGTTGGGAAGGCTACAAAGCAGGGCTTAGCTGGGCCACTCTCCTTCTTCTGGTTGTTTCAGGGTTTCTCCACACAGATTCTCCAGAAAGATAGTTGAACTTCTTATCTGGCAGCTCAGTTTCCAAGAGTGGGTGCTCCAAAAGACAGGAAGTAGATTCTGTCAGTTTCTTAAAACCTGGGCCTTTAAACTGGCAAAGTATGACTTCTACCATATCTATTGAAAAAAGCAGTCATGGATTCTGCCCAGATTCAAGGGAAGAAGACATAGACACCACCTCTCAATGAGAGAAGTATCAGAGCCTTGGCGATCATCATTGATCTATCACAACCAACAGATAGAATTTGAATTCTACCTTGCAGTAAATGGGAGCTACTGAAAGATTTTTATCTAGAGAGAGACATACTAGTATGAGTTATAGCAGTCTGAAACAGGATATGAGAAGGAAGAAAATTACAGGAAGGAAGCCCAGTCACTCATTATCACAGAATTTTTACTTTTTATGTTTTAACTGGCTTCTTCCAGAGGGGGTTGAAGCCAATTTCAATGTCTTGGTTGTAAAGATGGTTATTTGTGGCTAAGATATTGCATCAATCTCAACTAGTAAACTTCCATGTGTGTTGGGGTATTGTCCCTCCAACTAGACTATAAGCTCCCTGAAGACAAACTGTGTAACTCCAAAGCACCAAGCATTTTGTAAATGCTCAGAAAAAAGGAATTTTGTAAATGCTCAGAAAAAAGGAAAAAATAATGAAAAAAGGAAAATACGACCGAGTGTGGTGGCACACACCTGTAATCCCAGCACTTTGGGAGGCCAAAGAGGACACATCACGAGGACAGGAGATGCAGACCATCCTGGCTAACACGGTGAAACCCCGTCTCTACTAAAAATACAAAAAACTTAGCTAGGCATGGTGGCGGGAGCCTGTAGTCCCAGCTACTAGGGAGGCTGAGGCAGGAGAATGGCATGAACCCAGGAGGCAGAGCTTGCAGTGAGCTGAGATCATGACACTGCACTCCAGCCTGGGCGACAGAGTGAGGCTCTGTCTCAAAAAAAAAAAAAAAAAAAAAAAAAAAAGGAATATACAAGATTTATCCAATTAACAAATATTTATTGAGCTTTTGATATGTACTAGGCATTGATCTTGATTCTTGCAGTATATTAGTGAACAAGAGACAATGATGCATCTCCTCATGAGTTAACATTTTAAGTCTACAAAACTCATGATGAAGAGGGAAGAGCTCCTGAAAGTGTTGTGCTAAGAGAATCTGTTACTTTTCCCATGCTTCTCACCTGAGTGCTGTTTCCATAAAACTTGAAAAGTTCTTTTTTCTATAAATGGCAAATGACCTTGGAGTTAGAAATTACTTTGTCTCTGTAAATAGACAACTATTTTACTCAACACTACAGGGTCTATAAGTCAACCGAGACAATCAAGTAACAGTAGCATATTAATCTGAAGAGAGAATCTTGCCCTTGCAGGCATTTCTTCATTTGAATGTACAGCTCCAACTACTGTTATGATAGCAAAATCCTAGTTGCACTCAGGTGACAACAAGATTTCCATTTATGTCTTGTCCAAGGCTATTTATTTTTGCTTTATCAAATCTGTGTAAGTATCCAAAAAAGTTTCTAAGTCTTTGGATATATACACATCCCAAATAAAAGATGTTTACCCCTGATGCAGTTAATTACATAATTGGATTTGAAACAGAGACAGACAGATAGCTTACCATCAGTATGAAGTTATAGAAACAAAAGGTTTCCTATAAAGATCAAAATCGGAGATTTACATAACTATCTACTACAATAATTTTGTCTTCTACTCTACATTTTTTTTTTTTTTTTTTTTGAGACGGAGTCTCGCTTTGTCTCCTAGGCTGGAGTGCAGTGGTGCGATCTCCGCTCACTGCAAGCTCCGCCTCCCGGGTTCACGCCATTCTCCTGCCTCAGCCTTCTGAGTAGCTGAAACTACAGGCGCCCGCCACCAGGCCTGGCTCATTTTTTTGTATTTTTAGTAGAGACGGGGTTTCACCGTGTTAGCCAGGATGGTTTTGATCTCCTGACCTCGTGATCTGCCCGCCTCAGCCTCCCAAAGTGCTGGGATTACAGGAGTGAGCCATCGTGCCCGGCCTCTATTCTACATTTTAAGTCATATTTTTTAAAAGTATATTAGTAAGCATAGCTTATAAAAAGCAGACCTCAATAAGTTTAATCAGATCATATTTATAACAAATTAACTGGTCTGAAAAATTGAGGAAAATATGTAAAGTGCATATCTAGATATAAGCAATATTATCTCCTTTTTCTTTCATGTTTAATTCAAACCAAATTTATTGAATAGCTACTATATGCCAGGCATTGTGCTAGGAACCTAGAATTAACATCCAAGAAGACAGTGTCCTTGCCCCATTAAATATTCACAATATTGAGAAAGATATATAGAAATACAACATTTTACTTAAAAGTACATTTTGCTTTGTGCCTTCCTAACAAATTAAATTTTTAATGGCAAGAGTACAGAGAAATTGAAACTTTCATGTATTGCTGATGGGAATATAAATTGATTGAGCTAAATCTAGAGTGTATTTTTGTGACACTTATCAAAAGCCTTTAATACATGCTTACTCCAGCAATTTCATTTCCAGGAACTCAGCCTGAAAACACAATCACGAATCAGCACAAAGATATATCTTAAAGAAATTTCATCACACGATTTTTTAAGATTTTAAAATTATCAACACTTAATACCAAAAATGGAGAACTTAGTCAAGTCATTTTATAATGTATGATGAAATAGTGAATAGCCATTTACAATAATATTATAGATAATATGGAAAAATGTTGGCTATATTGTCTTTTCTTAAAGAGAAACAACATGTACAATATAGTGGTATTTTTGCTTTTAAAAATGTATATATGGGTTGGGAGAACTGGCAGGTACCTCCTCTTATTGTCCCCATCAGCAGGAGGCCAGAAATCAAAAGAATTTAATCATAGTTGGCACCATTCCTTCTGGCACCAAAAAGAACAGTCATTGACAACCAGCGTGGTTGTTCTTGTGATTCAGCCAAGTTTCAGGTCTGGCAAAATCAGAGCCAAATGCTTCTCAGCATAGCAATAGAGCAGTCTGTTGTTCACAAAGGACAAAACACAAAACCCAAGCTGATAGGAAAAATGTCCTTTCCTCATTACAGGCAAGCCTGCATTTTTTCAGAGGAAAATTAATGCTTGTCTTTGTGAGAAGGATGTACTTTACAGGTGATTTATTGAAGGGAAACTGCTCTCAAAGGTGAAGAGGCTGAACTGGTGTTAAGAGACTGGCATTCACCCTTCTTCACGGGAAAGAGGTCCATTGCCCTCTATGGCTGGCTACTGTCTAGTGCAGGAGGCAGCAAATTATGGCCCACAGGCCAAGTCAAACCTACCACCTGTTTTTATGTGGCTCACAAGCTAAAAATAGTTTTTACATTTTTATATAGTAGAAAAACACAATTAAAAAAATATGTGACATATAATGTGACACTTGAAAATTATATGAAAGTTAGATTTCAGTGACCATAAATAAGGTTTTATTGGAGCACAGCCATACTCATTTATTTATGTATTGTCTGTGGCTGCTTTCTGCCTCAGTGGTGGAGCTGAGTAGATGCAACAGAAAGCATATGGCCCCCCAAGCCTAAATTTTTTTCTCCTTGACATTTTTCAAAAAAGATTTGCCAAACCCTGGTCTAATGGAGAGATTCCTGGTGTGCTCAAGTGGCACTCGAGTTTGCAATACCTCCAGTAAAAAGTCTGAAATTTCCAATGGAAGGATGTGCGTTACAACTGCAATGGTTTGACATACTCCCTCCTTTCTTTGAAGGTTGCAAAGTAGATTTTGAGTGCTGGTCACAGTAAAGGCTAGCAAAGATTCTCTCCTTCAGGAACAAAAATGGAAGAGAGTCTTGCCACTTACGTTGTGTTACATATAAATGTAACATAATCATCAATATCCAGTGCCACCTCAATCCCCATTTCATGGGTCAGTTTCCTCTAAAATACTTTGAAAAGTGAAGCTTTTCTTACATTTCCCAAGTTGTCTGCTCACAAGCTTCTCCTGAAGATAAATTTCTTTTAGCTCTGCCGTGAAGCCCTGAGCATCTGCTGCTGCTCTTGATCCAAAAGTCTTAGACTCTGACTCTTATGTGGAAATCACTCTCTCTATATAGTGCTAGCAAATAGGTCAGTGTGCAGTATCCCACCCTTTTATTCTCTACAAGACTACTAGGTATGCCTATAAAGACACAAATTACTTTCTGCTCCCAGCTTTTTGTCTCTTTCTTAGGAGTTTTCTTCATCTAACCTCCCCTATGCAGGTTCTTTTCTACCTCCCAGGAAAGCTAGAAGACAAATAAGCGTTGGTCTTGCTTCAGGATTTGTTTCCTACTTCCCTCCTGCTGCCCAAGGAGAATTTTTCCCAAGTGTGAAGGGCATTCCAGCAGGATGATTGATTATGGCCATTACATCTCAGACCATGCAGACAATGGTAGGTGGCTCTGAAACTCCAAGTCTCAGATAAAATTATAAGCCCTCTGCTATGGACTGAAAGTTTATTCTTCTCCAAAGAGGAGAAGCCCTAACCCCCATGGTATTAGGAGATGGAGCCTTTGGGAAGTACCTAGGCGTAGATGAGCTCTTGACAGTAGAGCCCCCCGGGATGAGATTACTGCCCTTATAAGAAGAGGAAGATCTTTCTCTCTCTCTCTCTGTCTCTCTCTCTCTCTCTCTGTCTTTCTCTCTATCTCTCTCCCCCACATGCACACACCAAGGAAAGGCCATGTGAACATATAGTGAGAAAGTGGCTGTCTGCAAGCCATCAAGAGGGCCTCACTAGAACCTAACCATGCTAGCACATTGATCTTGGAGTTCCAGCCTCCAGAACTGTGAAAAAATAAGTGTTATTTAAGCCACCCAATCTTCGGTATTTTATTATAGCAGTCCATGCTGACTAAGATAGAAATTGATACCAAGAAGTGAGGTGCACTGTAACAAAGAGCTAGAAGTGTGGAAGCAGCTTTGGAACTGGGTAATGGGTAGAGGTTGGAAGAGTTTTTGGGTGTCTGCTAGAAAAGGCCAAGATGGCTGTGAAGAGAGTGCTACAGTTGATTCTGGTGAGGACTCAGAAAGAAAAGGAGAACTATAGAAAAAGTGTCCATCTTCTAAGAGAGCACATAAATAATCATGAACATAATGTTGGTAGAACTATGGATGATAAAGGCCATTCTGGTGAGGCCTCAGATGGAAATGAAGAACCTATTATTGGACAATGGACAAAGGATGATCCTAGTTATAAAGTGGCAGAGAACTTGGCTGAATTGTGTTTGTGTTCTAATGTTTTGTGAAAGGTAGAACTTATGAGCAATGAAACTGGATATTTAGCCAAAGAGATTTTTAAGCAAAATGTTGAACATGCAGCTTAGTTATTCCTGACTGCTTATCATAAAACAAAGGAAAAGATATAAATTGAAGAAGGAATTGTTAAGAAGAAAAGGACCAGAACTTAAAGATTTGTAAAATTCTCAGTCTATCCATATTGCAGAGAATACCAAGAGTGGGGCTGAACAACTGTTTGATAAGGAGATTAGTATGAGTGTGAGCCACAGACATCATCAACCACCTAAGGGTAAACACTGCCAGTTATAACTGAAGAGAATGCAGATGGGATAAAATGGAAGAAAGCTATTGGACTTCTTAGGTCCTACAGAACTGTATCGTAAGGCTATATGGATGTGAATAAGCACTGATCTTTGAGACAAGGGAAAAACAACCCCGAAGATGATTCAGAAATCATCAGACATCTCTGATGTTTCAGTTTCAATATGGTAGGGCCATTGCCTCAATTTCAACAGGCCAGAGGGCAGCCACCTAGAACTGTGGAGGCAGGCTCCCTGAGCCTTGGTTACCCAACCTCCATCTAGCAGAGTCCTGAGGGTGCAACCCTCCACAAAGCATTACTGTAGAAGTGGGACTGCATCCCCAGTGGGTCCAAAAGGCAAAGCATCAAACCAGAGAGGATTATCCTGGAGCCTTGAGATCTAGTGGAATTTGTCAAGATAGGTTTGGGACTTGCTTGGAACTTGTTCCTTTTTTCCTTCCAATTTCTCTCTTTTGGAATAGAAATGTCTATTTTATACTTGTCCCACCATCGCATTTTGCAAGCACATAATTTATCTGGATTTGAAGGTTTGCCATTAAAGAGGAATTTTCCCTCAGGATGAATGGTGACTCAAGTCTCATTGTTGTCTGATGTAGATAATGTTAGATGAGACTTTAGAGTTGATGCTGAAACAATTAAGACATTTGGGACTGTTGGGATGGAATCAATGTATTTTGCACGTGAGAAAGGCATGAATTTTGGGGAGCCCAGGTAGAATGTTATAGACTAAATGTTTGTGTTCCCCCCAAACTCATATACTGAAGCCTTAACTCCCAATGTGAGTTATTAGGAGGTGGTGCATTTGGGAGGTAATTCGGTTTGTATGAGATTATGAGGGTGGAATCCACATGATGGGACTAACGCCCTTATAAGAGAAAGACACATCAGAGCTTCCTCTTCCTGCCATGTGAGGATACAGCAAGAAGGTGGCCATCTACAGCCCATAAAGAATGCCTTTCCCCAAGAACCAAATCTGCTGGAACCTTGATCTTGGGCTTTCCAACCTTTAGACCTATGAGAAATAAATGTCTGTAGTTGAAGCCACCCAGCCTATTGTATTTTGTTATGAAGTATGGCTTCAAAGTAGTTACAATAATAGGATATTGAATATCTACCATTAAGGGAAGCCCAAAAGTGTGAGAACTCTATGTTCAGTTCAATCAGAGAGTTCAATTATTTTATCAAGGCTTGAAGTTCTTTCTTTCCCTCTACTCAGCAATCCTCAGTATCAGTTTCATCCTGAAAGTGATCTCTAATTACTTCAAGTTAACCATCTTTGGACATTAGAACTTCACACTTTCTTGTTTATACTGAACAGAAAAGAGAAAGAAAGACCTCTCCCACACTCATGGAATATATGTCCTTTTCTACAATCTGAATTGTCAAAATAAGTCATGTATCAACCCTGATCCAATAGTAGTCTTCAAAGGAAGGTCTTATGTTAAATAGGTTAAATAGCTTAAACTAATCAGGTTCTACCTCCTCTGCAGTGGAGTCAGCTTTCCCAGGACTAGAAGGCTGAGGTGGATATCTGAACTTAGGTTCTGTCAGAAAAGAGGAAAAGGGGAATAAATACCAGGTGGGTAACAACATTATCCACTGCACAGTGGTATATCTAACTCTAATCAAGGTTCAGTTTTATGTATGAATTCAAGTTCTGGGATTCATTAAGGTCCCCAGTTTGTGGAAGATACTGAATAACTTTCAAAAGAACAATAACTGCCTAAAAATGTTTACATATATTAATGTATCAATGAAAAGCCATCAGATTTCACATACCATGACTTAGAATATAATTATATTCTTGCAAAGATGACTTCAAGTTATAAATAAACTTCTAAAGCCAAAAGCATTGTCATTTTCAACTGAAAACCAAAAGAAGTCTAAAGTTTTATAGTAAATTATTTACTACTTTTAGCACTTTGACCATAGATTTTCAGTTAACTTTCTCCAGGTTATCAGAAAGTTCATGCATAAACTTTTTTTCCTGTTTCCTCAGGGCAGTCTAACCTTGCTTCTATCCAACTACAGAGAATAGTAAAGAATAACCATTATTAATGGGCTCTTGAAATCCCAATCTCTATCCAGAAGGTAAGGAATATTATTTATGAGTTCTCCCATAATCACTGATGACCTCAATCAGAATTTGAACCAAATCTTTTACAGATTTGGTCTCTAGTAGATAACACATCTCTACAATAAAAGTCAAAAGTTTAAAAATAACCCAAGCAAACTAGGTTAAAATATAATAGCAGTCATTTAGCACTGACCCCTTAGATAGAGCTCTTGAGGCTTCTGCTCATAGAAATTATGAGTACTTTGATAATCTTCATGTTTTTTCTCATCTTTCTGTTTATACAAGTTCCTCTAATTATGAACTGGTACACCTCTCTCTTCATTCATTATCATATTTAAATTTAATTGAAAAAGTAATATCCTTACAATTTATAAATGGTCTTTTGACAGTACTTTACTACAGTAAAGCAATTTCCTGACTTTCGTTAATGACTAGACTGATATCTTTTTAAAACTGAACAATGGATCATTAAAATTATTATTCACCATCTGGGTCTCCTTGAAAGCTTGTTTGAGGCCAAGCTGTTATTTCTACTGAAGAAAAGAAAACGGACCAAGCTAGGAGTACCCAATAGGCCTATAACATATACTTATAAAATTTTTTCTCAGATAGGGCATGTACTTGATTAGCCTCTAGCAGTCAAAAATGCAAGAAATACAGATAAATACTTAGCAATTTACAGTTCTAAGTCTTAGGAACAAAGCAATAGGGACTATCCAAAAGGTGAATCAAAGGCCGACTACATCTGACACACAACTGTTGAAAAGTAATTTTAAACCATCAAACAGACAGTGTTTTGAACACAACTAGTCACTGAGTTATTCTGTGACCCCATGTGGCTATTTTCCCAGGATGTTGTCAAAGCAGAGTCTGGAGAAGTCTCCCTACTCTTGAATCCCAGCTCTGAAGCTTAATAGCTGTGTAACCTTGAACAAATCACTTGACCTCTCTATTCATCACTTTCCTCATCTGCAAAATAGAGATAATAATTATAATGTCATCTTCATGGTCATTTATAAGTGTTAAACGAAGGGATGTATGTAAGGCATGTAGAACATTTTGCACACTCTAAGCCCTTCTACCTGTCATCTATTATGATCAATTTTTAAAAAGAAGCATATGAGTTATATATCAAATGAAGTCATTTTCAAACTGGTTTTATTTCAGGAAGACTATCTCAATATCTATAAAAGTATTTAATGCACTAATGGATTATATTAATAAAAATCAGGGTCATTCATTACTTTATTCAATAAATATTTATTGAGCATCTACCATGTGTCAGGCAATATTTTGGGTGCTAGGGACACAACAGTGAATAAAAGAAGAAAAGAAATCCCTGTCATCATAGAGCTTACAATCAGTCAACCAGTAATAAAAATAAGTAAATTATATAATATAGAAAATGATATATATTATGTATAAAAATAAATGGGGAAGGAGACAGGAAGAGTCAAGGAAAGGGTAGAGGGTATAGTTTTAAGTAGGGTGGTCAGGGGAGGACTCACTAAGAAGGTAACTTTTGAGCAAAGACTTGAAGAAGGTGAGGGAGAAAGCCACGAGAAAGCCAGGAGTAGAGTATTCCAGGTAGGTTGAAATGTCAGTGCAGTCACGCTAGGCTCAGGAATAGCAGAAGTCAGTTTGGCTGGAGGATAATGGAGATGAGGAAATAAGGTTAAAGACAAAATGGGGACCACATCATAGGAACTGGTAGGTCATAATGAGAACTTGGCTTTTTCTACTAAGTGACATAGAAAGTCATTGAATGGTTTTGGGGGGAGGAGCCAAGATGGCCGAATAGGAACAGCTGTGGTCTACAGCTCCCAGCGTCAGCGAAGCAGAAGACGGGTGATTTCTGCATTTCCATCTGAGGGACCGGGTTCATCTCACTAGGGAGTGCCAGACAGTGGGCGCGAGTCAGTGGGTGTGCGCACCGTGCGTGAGCCGAAGCAGGGCGAGGCATTGCCTCACCTGGGAAGTGCAAGGGGTCAGGGAGTTTCCTTTCCGAGTCAAAGAAAGGGGTGATGGTCACACCTGCAAAATCGGGTCACTCCCACCCGAATATTGCGCTTTTCGGACCGGCTTAAAAAACTGCGCACCATGAGATTATTTCCCGCACCTGGCTCAGAAGGTCCTATGCCCACGGAGTCTCGCTGATTGCTAGCACAGCAGTCTGAGATCAAACTGCAAGACGGCAGCGAGGCTGGGGGAGGGGCGCCCGCCATTTCCCAGGCTTGCTTAGGTAAACAAAGCAGCCAGGAAGCTCCAACTGGGTGGAGCCCACCACAGCTCAAGGAGGCCAGCCTGCCTCTGTAGGCTCCACCTCTGGGGGCAGGGCACAGACAAACAAAAAGACAGCAGTATCCTCTGCAGACTTAAATGTCCCTGTCTGACAGCTTTGAAGAGAGCAGTGGTTCTCCCAGCACGCAGCTGGAGATCTGAGAACGGGCAGACTGCCTCCTCAAGTGGGTCCCTGACCCCTGACCCCCAAGCAGCCTAACTGGGAGGCACCCCCCAGCAGGGGCACACTGACACCTCACACGGCAGGGTATTCCAACAGACCTGCAGCTGAGGGTCCTGTCTGTTAGAAGGAAAACTAACAAACAGAAAGGACATCCACACCAAAAACCCATCTGTACATCACCATCATCAAAGACCAAAAGTAGATAAAACCACAAAGATGGGGAAAAAACAGAACAGAAAAACTGGAAACTCTAAAATGCAGAGCGCCTCTCCTCCTCCAAAGGAACGCAGTTCCTCACCAGCAACGGAACAAAGCTGGATGGAGAATGACTTTGACGAGCTGAGAGAAGAAGGCTTCAGACGATCAAATTACTCTGAGCTACGGGAGGACATTCAAACCAAAGGCAAAGAAGTTGAAAACTTTGAAAAAAATTTAGAAGAATGTATAACTAGAATAACCAATACAGAGAAGTGCTTAAAGGAGCTGATGGAGCTGAAAACCAAGGCTCGAGAACTACGTGAAGAATGCAGAAGCCTCAGGAGCCGATGCGATCAACTGGAAGAAAGGGTATCAGCGATGGAAGATGAAATAAATGAAGCGAGAAGGGAAGTTTAGAGAAAAAAGAATAAAAAGAAATGAGCAAAGCCTCCAAGAAATATGGGACTATGTGAAAAGACCAAATCTACGTCTGATTGGTGTACCTGAAAGTGATGCGGAGAATGGAACCAAGTTGGAAAACACTCTGCAGGATATTATCCAGGAGAACTTCCCCAATCTAGCAAGGCAGGCCAACGTTCAGATTCAGGAAATACAGAGAACACCACAAAGATATTCCTCAAGAAGAGCAACTCCAAGACACATAATTGTCAGATTCACCAAAGTTGAAATGAAGGAAAAAATGTTAAGGGCAGCCAGAGAGAAAGGTCGGGTTACCCTCAACGGGAAGCGCATCAGACTAACAGCAGATCTCTCAGCAGAAACCCTACAAGCCAGAAGAGAGTGGGGGCCAATATTCAACATTCTTAAAGAAAAGAATTTTCAACCCAGAATTTCATATCCAGCCAAACTAAGCTTCATAAGTGAAGGAGAAATAAAATACTTTACAGACAAGCAAATGCTGAGAGATTTTGTCACCACCAAGCCTGCCCTAAAAGAGCTCCTGAAGGAAGCGCTAAACATGGAAAGGAACAACCGGTACCAGCAGCTGCAAAATCATGCCAAAATATAAAGACCATCGAGACTAGGAAGAAACTGCATCAACTAATGAGCAAAATAACCAGCTAACATCATAATGACAGGATCAAATTCACACATAACAATATTAACTTTAAATGTAAATGGACTAAATGCTCCAATTAAAAGACACAGACTGGCAAATTGGATAAAGAGTCAAGACCCATCAGTGTGCTGTATTCAGGAAACCCATCTCACGTGCAGAGACACACATAGGCTCAAAATAAAGGGATGGAGGAAGATCTACCAAGCAAATGGAAAACAAAAAAAAGGCAAGGGTTGCAATCCTAGTCTCTGATAAAACAGACTTTAAACCAACAAAGATCAAAAGAGACAAAGAAGGCCATTACATAATGGTAAAGGGATCAATTCAACAAGAAGAGCTAACTATCCTAAATATATATGCACCCAATACAGGAGCACCCAGATTCATAAAGCAAGTCCTTATACACCTACAAAGAGACTTAGACTCCCACACATTAATAATGGGAGACTTTAACACCCCACTGTCAACATTAGACAGATCAACGAGACAGAAAGTCAACAAGGATACCCAGGAATTGAACTCAGCTCTGCACCAAGCAGACCTAATAGACATCTACAGAACTCTCCACCCCAAGTCAACAGAATATACATTCTTTTCAGCACCACACCACACCTATTCCAAAATTGACCACGTACTTGGAAGTAAAGCTCTCCTCAGCAAATGTAAAAGAACAGAGACTATAACAAACTATCTCTCAGACCACAGTGCAATCAAACTAGAACTCAGGATTAAGAATCTCACTCAAAACCGCTCAGCTATATGGAAACTGAACAACCTGCTCCTGAATGACTACTGGATACATAATGAAATGAAGGCAGAAATAAAGATGTTCTTTGAAACCAATGAGAACAAAGACACAACATACCAGAATCTCTGGGACGCATTCAAAGCAGTGTGTAGAGGGAAATTTATAGCACTAAATGCCCACAAGAGAAAGCAGGAAAGATCCAAAATTGACACCCTAACATCATAATTAAAAGAACTAGAAAAGCAAGAGCAAACACATTCAAAAGCTAGCAGAAGGCAAGAAATAACTAAAATCAGAGCAGATCTGAAGGAAATAGAGACACAAAAAACCCTTCCAAAAATTAATGAATCCAGGAGCTGGTTTTTTGAAAGGATCAACAAAATTGATAGACCGCTAGCAAGACTAATAAAGAAAAAGAGAGAGAAGAATCAAATAGATGCAATAAAAAATGATAAAGGGGATATCACCACCGATCCCACAGAAATACAAACTACCATCAGAGAATACTACAAACACCTCTACGCAAATAAACTAGAAAATCTAGAAGAAATGGATACATTCCTTGACACATACACTCTCCCAAGACTAAACCAGGAAGAAGTTGAATCTCTGAATAGACGAATAACAGGAGCTGAAATTGTGGCAATAATCAATAGTTTACCAACCAAAAAGAGTCCAGAACCAGATGGATTCACAGCCGAATTCTACCAGAGGTACAAGGAGGAACTGGTACCATTCCTTCTGAAACTATTCCAATCAATAGAAAAAGAGGGAATCCTCCCTAACTCATTTTATGAGGCCAGCATCATTCTGATACCAAAGCCTGGCAGAGACACAACCAAAAAAGAGAATTTTAGACCAATATCCTTGATGAACATTAATGCAAAAATCCTCAATAAAATTCTGGCAAAATGAATCCAGCAGCACATGAAAAAGCTTATTCACCATGATCAAGTGGGCTTCATCCCTGGGATGTAAGGCTGGTTCAATATACGCAAATCAATAAATGTAATCAAGCATACAAACAGAGCCAAAGACAAAAACCACATGATTATCTCAATAGATGCAGAAAAAGCCTTTGACAAAATTCAACAACGCTTCATGCTAAAAACTCTCAATAAATTAGGTATTGATGGGACGTATTTCAAAATAATAAGAGCTATCTATGACAAACCCACAGCCAATATCATACTGAATGGCCAAAAACTGGAAGCATTCCCTTTGAAAACTGGCACAAGACAGGGATGCCCTCTCTCCCCACTCCTATTCAACATAGTGTTGGAAGTTCTGGCCAGGACAATTAGGCAGGAGAAGGAAATAAAGGGTATTCAATTAGGAAAAGAGGAAGTCAAATTGTCCCTGTTTGCAGATGACATGATTGTATATCTAGAAAACCCCATTGTCTCAGCACAAAATCTCCTTAAGCTGATAAGCAACTTCAGCAAAGTCTCAGGATACAAAATCAATGTACAAAAGTCACAAGCATTCTTATACACCAGCAACAGACAAACAGAGAGCCAAATCATGAGTGAACTCCCATTCACAATTGCTTCAAAGAGAATAAAATACCTAGGAATCCAACTTACAAGGGATGTGAAGGACCTCTTCAAGGAGAACTACAAACCACTGCTCAAGGAAATAAAAGAGGATACAAACAAATGGAAGAACATTCCATGCTCATGGGTAGGAAGAATCAATATCGTGAAAATGGCCATAATGCCCAAGATAATTTACAGATTCAATGCCATCCCCATCAAGCTACCAATGACTTTCTTCACAGAATTGGAAAAAACTACTTTAAAGTTCATATGGAACCAAAAAAGAGCCCGCATCGCCAAGTCAATCCTAAGCCAAAAGAACAAAGCTGGAGGCATCACACTACCTGACTTCAAACTATACTACAAGGCTACAATAACCAAAACAGCATGGTACTGGTACCAAAACAGAGATATAGATCAATGGAACAGAACAGAGCCTTCAGAAATAACGCCGCATACCTACAACTATCTGATCTTTGACAAACCTGAGGAAAACAAGCAATGGGGAAAGGATTCCCTATTTAATAAATGGTGCTGGGAAAACTGGCTAGCCATATGTAGAAAGCTGAAACTGGATCCCTTCCTTACACCTTATACAAAAATCAATTCAAGATGGATTAAAGACTTAAATGTTAGACCTAAAACCATAAAAACCCTAGAAGAAAACCTAGGCATTACCATTCAGGACATAGGCATGGGCAAGGACTTCATGTCCAAAACACCAAAAGCAATGGCAACAAAAGACAAAATTGACAAATGGGATCTAATTAAACTAAAGAGCTTCTGCACAGCAAAAGAAACTACCATCATCAGAGTGAACAGGCAACCTACAAAATGGGAGAAAATTTTCGCAACCTACTCATCTGACAAAGGGCTAATATCCAGAATCTACAATGAACTCAAACAAATTTACAAGAAAAAAACAAACAACCCCATCAAAAAGTGGGCGAAGAACATGAACAGATGCTTCTCAAAAGAAGACATTTATGCAGCCAAAAAACACATGAAAAAATGCTCATCATCACTGGCCATCAGAGAAATGCAAATCAAAACCACAATGAGATACCATCTCACACCAGTTAGAATGGCAATCATTAAAAAGTCAGGAAACAACAGGTGCTGGAGAGGATGTGGAGAAATAGGAACACTTTTACACTGTTGGTGGGACGGTCAACTAGTTCAACCATTGTGGAAGTCAGTGTGGCGATTCCTCAGGGATCTAGAACTAGAAATACCATTTGACCCAGCCATCCCATTACTGGGTATATACCCAAAGGACTATAAATCATGCTGCTATAAAGATACATGCACACGTATGTTTATTGCGGCATTATTCACAATAGCAAAGACTTGGAACCAACCCAAATGTCCAACAATGATAGACTGGATTAAGAAAATGTGGCACATATACACCATGGAATACTATGCAGCCATAAAAAAGGATGAGTTCATGTCCTTTGTAGGGACATGGATGAAATTGGAAATCATCATTCTCAGTAAACTATCGCAAGAACAAAAAACCAAACACCGCATATTCTCACTCATAGGTGGGAATTGAACAATGAGATCACATGGACACAGGAAGGGGAATATCACACTCTGGGGACTGTGGTGGGGTGGGGGGAGGGGGGAGGGATAGCATTGGGAGATATACCTAATGCTAGATGACGAGTTAGTGGGTGCAGCGCACCAGCATGGCACATGTATACATATGTAACTAACCTGCACAATGTGCACATGTACCCTAAAACTTAAAGTATAATAAATAAATAAATAAATAAATAAATAAATAAATAAATAAATAAAAAAGAAAGTCATTGAATGGTTTTTAGTAGCAGAGTAGTATGATCTGACTCACACTTTAAAAGGATTTTTCTTTGCTTTGTAAAGGATAGACTGCAGAGAGGCAAAGGTGAAATCAGGGAAAGTCGTTAGGCAATTAGTTAGGGTTTTGCACTATTTCAGGAAAAAGATCATGGTGGCTCTCATCAGAATGATAGCCATGGAGGTGGGAAAATAGGGGAGAGTCATAAGGATCTCCAGAGGGATTGGATATGGGGTATGAGATGAAGAGAGGCATCAAGCATGACTCCAAGGTTTTGTCCTGAGCAACTGGAAGGATGAATTTGTCATTGGCTGAGATGGAGAAAGTTATACCTACAGCAGGTTTGGGGGAGTGGAGGAAAAAATCAGCTGTTCAGTTTTGGCTGTGTTCAATTCAAAATGTCTAGTAGACATCCAAGTAGATATAGTAAAGAGACAGTTTGATATATGATTCTGGTATGTTCAGGGGGAAAAGTCTATACCAGAGATATAAATTCGGTAGACGTCAGATGTGATATCTAAAACCAGAGAGTGAATATAGATAGAGAAGAGGACCAAGGACAGAGCCCTGGAGTACTCCAACACGGATAGGTCAGTGAGAAGAGGAGGAGCCAGCAAAGGAGACCAAGAAGGAACAACAGGCAAGGTGTGAGGAAAGCCATGAAAATTTGATTCTCAGAAGATATGCAAAGAAATTCTATTGAAGAAAAAGGCACAAACAATTATATGAATCCTGCTAATGGGTCAGATAAGATGAAGACTAATCCCTGGCCATTGGATTCAACAAGGTGGAGGTCATTTGTGATCACAAGAGCAGTATTGATGGTTTTTGTTTCTGTGGGGGCAGAAGCGTGATATAAGAGAGTTGAAAAAAGAACTGGAGGAAAGGAATGAAAGGTGACGATTGTAGACTGATCCTGCAAGGAGTTAATTATTAATTACAAATTTTCAAAATAACTCTAGAAGGTAAGTTTGTGTGCACTCCTTTTACAGATGATAAGACTAAGGTTGAGAAAGAATAAAGATTTAGCCCAAAATGAAAATGCTAGCAAAAGGAAGAACTACGACCTAAGCACAAATGTCTGACTCCAAAGATAAAGTTCTTCATTGTCCCATGCTTTTGGTAAACATGCGTTGAGTCCCTACAATGTATACATACTACATGAGAGTACCAATACGTGTTTATCTGAACTATGATTTAGATCACATTTCTCAGAATCATCCAAGGATGACTTGCATCAGAATTAACTAGCTGGCATCTTAAAAATTCAGATTCCTGAACCTCATCCGGGATTCATTGAATCAAAATCTCTGGGGATTTTAGCACTCCAAGAAATTCATATGTGAACCAAAGTTTCAGTTGTTCATCTAATAAAATACGATGTTTCTTTCTAAGAATACATTAAATATATGCATTTTTAAATTTCTCCACCTTCTTTTCTTTTAATCTCATTTGCATCAAAGAAAATTTATTTGGTAACTTCCCAGCAAATATTCAATGTCCTTTTTGATAACAATTTTCATAACCAAATAAATTTGCCTAGAATAACAAACCCTACTTTTTTCTTTCTAAACTTCTCAGCATAAGTTTTCAGAATTTCGGATTATCTCACATGTTGTTATTTTTCCCTTATGATGGGGTTTTATTTAATGGCAACTAAATTAAGAAAGAACCTGCTCTTCAAATAGAATTGCTGTGTTTCACAGAGGATACGACTTGGGTTTTTAACTCAGAAGGATGGAATTGCATTGCATTGCAGAGTATTTCTCTGTGAAGGGAAAATGTACCTATTCATTGTATGCTTCAGATCATTCTCAATTTTTGCTGTTGATTGAGACAGTAGTTCCACCAGCGTTTCTGAAAATCACCCTATTGTAGACACTTGATCTCTCTTTTTTAATAATTCAGGAAATCGGTTTGCTGCACCTATTCAGAGAATGCTTTATTTTGTACCAGTTCTTTGCTTTCTATCCAGAAACAGCTGCTCCATCTCCTGTGACACAGGATGTAATAAAATGGAGTAAATGGAGTAGAGTATTTTGATAGATTAATCACTGTGGGGTATGCAGCGTTCACAGCACTCATGGTGAAAGTGAAGAGATTATACTGGAATGACATCTGTTTTCTTCCATGTAAATTGCTAGACTTTGAATCTGCTGTTATTTAGCAGATGTGTAGATTTAATTATTAGGATTGCATAACCACTGGGGAAACCATGGGATTTTATTGATAGCTTTCCACCTACGGTAATTGCAGAATAAGTGAACTGCCTTTGTCTCCTTTGTGGAAATAAAACTAAAAAAGTTAAATCATAAGGGATGTGTTTCTTTTTCCTAAGGTGCATACAAACTAGTTGTGTTGATGCCTATGTATTAATAAAATTTCAACAAATGCATGTAACAGTTCAACAATTATTTTCTTCACAGGCTGCAGCTAAAGACTTATTTTCAGTAAAATATTTCAGAAATCCTTATTGGTCCACATCTGCAAAACTGAGATTGCTAAGACTTTCATAGGGTTATCTACAGTTTGGGTTTAAAAAGCCCTTGGAGATTATCGGCTCCTATGTATTCATTTTATGCTTGAGGAAACTGATGAAAGAAATATAGTATCTACTAAGCAAATGCCAACTTATTCCTCAATTTCCTGGCCCCCATTCCAGCACTCAGAGCAGAGTTCATTGAGAGGAGAGAGGCCCAAATCTGTTCATAGGTTCATTTGAGTACTGTGAGACTCGGCCTTCTCAGCCTCTGCGGTTTTACCCTTGTGTGATAACAGAAATAGCTTGAAGAGAAATGGGAGTTATTTGACAAAGTTACAGAGAGATTGTTGCTCCAGATGTCAAAGAAAAACAAAATTCAACAGTCTAGGTCTCTGGGATCTGGTCCTGCGTGTGCCACTAGTGTAATTTGGGGCCTTGACCATGTCTATTTCCTCATCTGTGCAGGGACTGGTTAGCCTGAGAAGCCACAACAAGAGTTAAAATCCAGTCCAGTGACTCTAGAATTCTACAATGCTTTCTTCTTTTTGCAAAATGCTCTTGAACCTGATATATAAAGCAAAGTGCTGGATGAGAAACTTCACTGTCCAAAAAAGGTGAATCCAGAGATCAACTCTTTCAGAAGTTCTGTGTTGTTCTGTTTGAAAAAGAAATTATATACGTTGGTGAGTTCTAATCAAACTCAGGAATTAACTTCATATAGGATCTGCCTCCCCTCCTTTGTAAAGAAGTGGCTTTACATCTACAGAATATCAGATGTAGGTAATTTTGGCCAAAACAGACAAAGAAGCACATTTAAAATATGAAGTGCAAGAAATCAAAAGTTAAATCTACCAATAGCCATACAAAGTTTTTTTTCAATGTAATGAAACCATCTGAATATTTAAAAACCATCTGGATAATTACATGAAGTTTTCCATTTGGACTCAGATGTTTTGATGTCATGTGTATGGTTGAAGCAGAGCTGTGGCACTTACCTGGTTAATTGGATATGGGGTGTCCATGATGTGGCATTAGGCAGAGCTCACAGAGAGGGCCCATGGAGTCACACATCCCTACAGATGTCACAGTGCCTCAGCTGCCTCCACTCCACTGTTACTATGACTGAACCACCTAGGGAGCTATGCCCACACCAGAAAGATGCCACATCCATCTTCCTCACACTCACTGTGACAAGCCTTCAGAACATATCACTCCCTGCCCTACCTGAGTGCTCCTTTGATGATCCCCCACCCCCCGGGCTCTTATCCCCATATAGGTCTGTATATCCCCTAATCTGACTTGAGCTTCCACTGATATTTGACCTCTCTGACCTTCTACTATACCCTCTGAGAATTGCCACCTGTCATTGACAAAACACCCTTTATCCTTAATTTATTCTCTGAATATTTCCTCTACTTCTGTCTAACTGAAATCTGGCTGTCCTCTGAGGATGCTGCTTTACATGTAGCCAACTCAAGTGGTGTCTTTCTATCCCACACAACTTGTTTCACTGGGTGTGGAGGGTATGAGGCTGCCCACCTTATTCCTCATTGGTGCTCAAGGACTGTTATCTCTGCCTCCTCCCTAAAACCCTTCAGCAATTTGGAAGCTCAAGCCATTAAGCCACACCATCACCTGTCCTTCCTTGTCATATTCATATCCACACCTCCAGCTCATTCCCCCTTGTTCCTCGAAGAACTTAGCACCTGTTTTACTGTGTCCTTCTACAGAAATATTCTTGTCAAAATTTGTTGCCATCATGGATAGGGAAGATATTCAAAATATTTAATCACTAGTATGAAACAGGTACCAACCAGTAGTTAATGACTATGTATTAGCTGACTATTCGTCTGTCATGTAGATGGTTTTTCCAGTCACCTGGCTTCTTAGTTGCCAAATCTACAGTCACCTGGCCTCTTAATTGCTAAATCTACTTCTTGTTCCTCATTTTACATGTGCCCTTATCAGAGAGGCCATTTCTGACCAGTTCATGTATATTAACAATACCCCCCAACAATTGCCACTCTCTAATTTTTACCTTCTCTAAAGCACACATGATATATAATACATTTATGAGTTTACTTGTGTATTGCCTTTCTCTTTTAACTAGAATATAAGCTACATGAAAGCACTAACTTTGTTCTTTTCACTGGTGTTATCTCAGACCCTACATCAGTGCCCAACAAATAACTGGTACTCAGTAAATATTTGTGGAAAAGTACCTTTGGATCAAAAGTAGAAGCTTTTAGAGGTCAAACTGCAACATTATCACTTTTTGCTACTTAGGTTTTGAATACTAAGTAGTTCTTCAAGAATTTTAAATGAATCAGAGAAAAACAGAATTCTACTAACTTTAAAAAGAGACTGCATTTAATGTAGGCATCCTAGTATGCACAGAATTCTCAGCATCAACAGAAGACCATGTCTCTCTGTACCTGCTAAAAATACAGACACTTTAACCTCAGGAAATAAAGTGGTTCATGAAATATCAGAGGTGATATCTTGGGTCATGATATAGACAAACTTACAGAAATAACATCATTTCAACCTAAGATGCTAGGAATATATAAATGAAAAATAGGATTCGGTCAGTGGAAGCAACACTAAATTTCTGTCTCTGCCACACATAAGTTTCCTGTCTTCCAGAAAATAGCATTAGGAGAAGCACAATTCATTTTATTCATTTGGGGATTCGCCATATAAAATAGGATATATGGCATGAATTGCAGTAAGGGGGCACATTATTCTAAAATTTTCTAACAAGCAAGCCAAGTTTGTCAGGTTCCAAATTAGCATTTAGTCATTTGTCCTATGAGGAAAATGCAAAATTATTTATTTATACCTCTTACAACTTTGCTTGGTTAAAGTTGTATCTGCATAATAGGCAGTGTGCTGGAAGGGAAAGGAAATATGCTTATGGCATCTGCCATAAAAAGAAGATATTAAAATGACAATGTTACTGATTTCTTGAATGTGGAGAATAAGTACTCCATGAAAAAATCATTCAGCAATAACAGGCTAAACTAAAGACTTTTATTAACAGAGCCTTCTCAGTTATTACACCCTGGACCAGAAGATAGTTTACATCTGACAGAAGGGTAGTCATCTCTGACTATGAGCCCAAGCAATGGCCCTGCTTCAACTAAAAGCTGGGAGCACAGTCCAGACAAGACGAGAGCAAGGACTTAACAAAACCTTTTGACAAGTTTCCTTTCAAAGGAGAAAAGTAAAGAACAAATTCCAAGCTGACGGCAAAGTTTGAAATTTTTTTGTAATAGATTCATATTCTATATGTCAATTGTATTGTAATTTACAAATGATACCAATGACTTACTATATTAAAACAGGTTAGATAAAAATATACAGAAAAATAAATTTATTTTTATTATTTTATATAATTAAATACAAATACACAAAAAAATACATATGCCTGTAGCCCCAACTACTCAGGGGGCTGGGGCAGGAGGATCACTTGATCCCAGGAGTTTGAGACTGCAGTGAGCTATGATCTCCTCACTGATGGGGGCAACAAAGTGAGACCTCCATCTCTTAAAAAAAAAAAAGCAGCATTAAAGAGACATTTGTAGACATAAACATTTACAATTTTTGACAAGTTTTGCTTTAATCCCTATTTTCTTTAAGATATGCTTATTTTTCTATTCCTCCCTGGGTCTTGGAGAGTGAAATCTCTCTGCAAGTCATTAGCCTGAAGAGGGTCACATCCTCACTCCAGAACCATTCACTAGCAAAAAAGTGGGATTTCCCGTTTTAGACCAATGAGCCTACTGGCATCTCTAGCTACTATTTTTCAGTATCCTTTGATGGCAATTCTTTCTCCATCCATCTTTTAAACCCTAGAATCTCTCAAGATTCCATTATGTGTCCACTTATCGTTTAACTTTTGAGACTTCTTCTGGGTAATCTCATCTATTCCTATGAATTTTCATCTATATTTTGATAACACCCTAATATGTGTCTTCAGCCCAATCTTTTCCTGAGCTGTGGACTCACATATCCAACTACCTGTAGCTCTCTCTACTTGGATTCACCATCACTATAAAAATTCAAGCACATCCAAAGCTGAAGTCAATGTTGGGTCAGATGGTATTTCTGGTCCTAGATCCTTGAGGAATCGCAACACTGTCTTCCACAATGGTTGAACTAATTTATACTCCCACCAACAGTGTAAAAGTGTTCCTATTTCTCCAAATCTTCTGTAGCATCTGTTGTTTCCTGACTTTTTAATGATTGCTATTCTAACTGGCATGAGATAGTATCTCATTGTGGTTTTGATTTGCATTTCTCTAAGGACCAGTGATGATGAGCTTTTTTTTAAATTTATTATTATTATTATTATTATTATTATTATACTTTAAGTTTTAGGGTACATGTGCACAAAGGCTAATATCCAGAATCTACAATGAACTCAAACAAATTTACAAGAAAAAAACAAACAACCCCATCAAAAAGTGGGCGAAGGACATGAACAGACACTTCTCAAAAGAAGACATTTAGCAGCCAAAAGACACATGAAAAAATGCTCACCATCACTGGCCATCAGAGAAATGCAAATCAAAACCACAACGAGATACCATCTCACACCAGTTAGAATGGCAATCATTAAAAAGTCAGGAAACAACAGGTGCTGGAGAGGATGTGGAGAAATAGGAACACTTTTACACTGTTGGTGGGACTGTAAACTAGTTCAACCATTGTGGAAGTCAGTGTGGCGATTCCTCAGGGATCTAGAACTAGAAATACCATTTGACCCAGCCATCCCATTACTGGGTATATACCCAAAGGACTATAAATCATGCTGCTATAAAGACACATGCACACGTATGTTTACTGCGGCATTATTCACGATAGCAAAGACTTGGAACCAAGCCAAATGTCCAACAATGATAGACTGGATTAAGAAAATGTGGCACATATACACCATGGAATACTATGCAGCCTTAAAAAAGGATGAGTTCATGTCCTTTGTAGGGACATGGATGAAATTGGAAATCATCATTCTCAGTAAACTATCACAAGAACAAAAAACCAAACACCGCATATTCTCACTCATAAGTGGGAATTGAAGGATGAGCTTTTTTTCACATGTCAACTGGCCACTTTTGAGAAGTGTCTGTTCATATTCTTTGCCCACTTTTTGATGGGGTTGTTTGTTTTCTTGTAAATTTGTTTAAGTTCCTTGTAGATTCTGGATATTAGCCCTTTGTCAGATGGATAGACTCAAAAAATGTTCTCCCATTCTGTAGGCTGCATGTTCACTCTGATGATAGTTTCTTTTGCCGTGCAGAAGCTTTGTCAGATGGATAGATTGCAAAAATTTTCTCCCATTCTGTAGGCTGCATGTTCATTCTGATGATAGTTTCCTTTACTGTGCAGAAGCTTAATTTAGTTTAATTCTATCCCATTTGTCAACACTGGCTTTTGTTGCAATTGCTTTTGGTGTTTTAGTTATGAAGTCTTTGCCCATGCCTATGTTCTGAATGGTATTACCTAGGTTTTCTTCTAGAGTTTTTACGGTTTTAGGTTTTAAGTCTTTAATCCATCTTGAATTAATTTTTGTATAAAGTGTAAGGAAGGGGTCCAGTTTCTGTTTTCTGCATATGGCTAGCCAGTTTTCCCAGCACCGTTTATTAAATAGGGAATCCTTTCCCCATTGCTTGTTTTTGTCAGGTTTGTCAAAAATCTGATGGTTGTAGATGTGTGGTGTTATTTCTGAGGCCTCCGTTCTGTTCTGTTGGACTATACATCTGTTTTGATACCAGTACCATGCTGTTTTGGTTACTGGAATCTTGTAGTGTAGTTTGAAGTCAGGTAGCATGATGCCCCCAGTTTGTTCTTTTCGCTTAGGATTGTCTTGGCTATACAGGCTCTTTTTTGGTTCCATATGAAATTTAAAGTAGTTTTTTCTAGTTCTGTGAAGAAAGCCAGTGGTAGTTTGATGGGAATAACATTGAATCTATAAATTACTTTGGGCAGTATGGCCATTTTCATGATATTGATTCTTCTTATCCATGAGCAAAGAATATTTTTCCATTTGTTTGTGTCCTCTCTTATTTCCTTGAGGAGTAATTTGTAGCGCTCCTTGAAGAAATCCTTCACATCCCTTGTAAGTTGTATTCCTATGTCTTTTATTTTCTTTGTAGCAATTGTGAATGTTTTCTCAATCAACCTGCACTCATACCTCCATAATCCGGATGATTCACCAATTACTTTTCTCCATATGGCCTCCCTTATCTATTCTCTGGGCTACTACTACACTCTTCCCATCCATCTCCCTACCCCTCATGTAATTTACCTTCCACAGTCTCATTAGTGATCTGTCTAAAATGCACATATGATCTGTAATTCTCCTGCTGAAAGTACTGGTGGGCTCCCCAGTGAAATCTAATCTCTCAGGACTCAAAATTTACAGGTACTTCATAATTTGGTGCCAGTTCACCTCTTCACAGAGCCACAGCTATCCCAAATAACACTTCCGTGCAAATGAGAAAAGACACCCCTTTCTCTGAGCAGATTCAACCTTATGCCAGAGAACACAGCTGCCATAAAGACGTGCAGTGGCTATGCCTATGCACACAATCTCCTGGATCCATTACCCAAACTTGCCACTTTTGCATCTGAATTTGTATGTGTGATTTCCCTATTTATGGTCCCCCAACCCGGCCTCACTCCTAGCCCTCCTCCTTCATCTAAATCTTCTTCACTTTCAATTCATAAGTGGCAGTCATGCGTATCCCTCTATTGTGCTTTCACAGAACCCTGCCCTTTCATTATCTCAGACCATATCACAGTATATGATTGTGAGTTTGTCATATTCTTACTAAATTATAAATTCTTGGGGACAAGAATCATGTCTGTCTTATTCACCTTTTAATCCCTAATCCTAAGCAGATGCCTGCCACCTAAAAGATGCTTCAATAAATGTTAGATGAATTTAAGTCTAGGCCAGGTGCAGTGGCTCACGCCTGTAATCCCAGCACTTTAGGAGGCTAAGGTAGGGGGATCACTTGAGGCCAAGAGTTCGAGATGAGCCTGGGCAACACAGCAAGACCACATCTGTACCAAAAATGCAAAACTTAGCCAGGCATGGTGGATGAAAGTATCATTCTGAAATACTATTCTAAATTATATGTCATAAAGGACCTTTAATAGAGACTGGGACCAAATCAAAAGAAAAATAGTGGAGAACTGAATCCCCCAGAAGACTGAATTCCTGCTGAAAAAAGAGGAATATCTTAAGGGCATAAAAGGTAACTCAGACATATCCTGTTACTTTAACGTCCAAGGCTCTGATTGCCAAGGCCTGTATCTCTGTTTCTCATTTCTTTCTCAAAAGCTTTAATTTCTTCTTAAAGTTTTGCCTTGAAGCCAAATGTATACTTTCTTTATAATTTTAAATGGGATTATTGATCCAATCAAACCAATTTTCTGCAATCTCTAAGACATCTTAAGGCAACGGCTCAATGTCTATGTCTTGTCTGCTTAGAAGACAGACATGACAGCTAAACTTTTTAAAAATTCTCATAGGATTTTCCTGTGCTTTTCAGGTCCCTCTGGCCAGACCAGGTTCATTTGTAATGGAGATTTTGCACAGATTTCACAAGCTTTGCTAATCCCCTCCATAAGAAAGATAAGCTCGGGGCATTCAGCTTGACATATGTAGTTTCCAGAAATTTTGTCAGTGTTTCTTAGAACTTGTTTAAGGTGCCATGAAATATAGCAGTGAAATGTAAAGTGTTGGAATTGTTTTTCTAGGAAAACTCATTGTAGATGGAGAGCAAGGTATCTAATAGGATGTGGAAGTTCTAAATAAATACAAGAAGACATGAGGCAGCAGAGAGAAAGAGAAAGTAGCAGAGAGAAAGTGAAAGTAGCAGAGAGAAAGTAGCCAAGAGAAAGTGATGGTCCATTCATTTGTTTATGTACTCAACATCTTCCAGTTACTGCCTACTATGTGCCAGGCAATATGCTTGATGTTTGGGGGATATGTTGGTGAATGACAGAGACACATCCCTGTCCTAACGGAGGTTTCACCCTACTGGGACACACAGGCAAGAAATTAGTCCCACTGTTCACGGGATATTTCTTATAATCAGATTGCTCACATTTCAGTAGATATACAGAGAATACTAGAAGATGTTTACATCTTATTATTGCTCCTTATATATCCTCTGTTCTTTTAATTCTCTAGTAATCCTATTTCACTGGTACATGTTCTTATTGTTTACTCTAATTCTGAGCTCTCTGGTTGGGAGCCACTCAGATAGGCAGGCCATTTTTTCTCATTAGAAGTCAGGTCTGGGCTGGGCGTGGTGGTTCATGCCTGTAATCCCAACACTTTGGGAGGCCGAGGCAGGCGGATCACAAGGTCAGGAGATCGAGACCATCCTGGCTAACATGGTGAAACACCGTCTCTACTAAAAATACAAAAAATTAGTCAGGCATGGTGGCAGGCATGTGTAGTCTCAGCTACTCGGGAGGCTGAGACAGGAGAATGGCGTGAACCCGGGAGGCGGAGCTTGCAGTGAGCCGAGATCACGCCACTGCACTCCAGCCGGGGGAACAGAGCGAGACTCCGTCTCAAAAAAAAAAAAAAAAAGAGTCAGGTCTGGTGTTGGAATCTTAAGGTGGTAAGACTTAAACCTTAAAAAAGATTAGAAAAGTATCTTGTCTAATGATCCGATGGTGTAATAACAGGCTTTGGCCACCTCCTGGGGTCAGGAGACCTAGCATACTCATCCTCTGCCTACTCAGTCCTCATCCCTAGGCTCCATCACTGCTTGTCATGTGGTCCACCCATTTGTGGAAGACAGAGGTTGGGGAAGCCAATTCAATTCTCTTTGGAAAAACCTCAACACAGCCCAAAGTTTTATCCACACAAGATCATTGCAAGTCTGAGTGTGGCTTGCCTTAGGAGAGACATGTAACCAGTCCCAGGACTTAGAGTTGAGGAGAAGGGAAATTAAAATGTCCATTTCCTAAAACCTCTACAGATTCTCAAGTTCTAAATCTTTAACTATGCAGACTTACGGCATTTATTTTGAAAAAGTCATGTTATTCAAAATAATAGCTGCTTCGGGAAGAATAGCTAATGGATGCTGGGCTTAATACCTAGGTGATGAGATGATCTGTGCAGCCATGTGCACCATGGCACACATTTACCTATGTATCAAACCTACACATGTACCCCTAAACTTAAAATAAAAGTTGGAAAAAAGGAAAAAAATAGTAACAGCCGCTACGAATTAACCAATTATTTTGTTTCAGGAATTAAAATTGCTTCCAGTCCTGCCACTAATTAATTGGTTATGTGATCACAGCAGTGTCATAGACCTCCCTGTGCCCATTACCTTTCTGTAAAATAAGGGAATTGGAATAAAAGACCTCTAAAATCTGCTTTTAAGACTCCATAATATGAATCTCTAGTACTCTTTGGACAGCAGCACTCTTCAGATGATTGTGGTCCCTTGAAATCTGGTCCTAAGCTTCCTGTCTGGCTGTGTCTTTCCGACTCCTCTGAGTGAACTTCCTCTGCAGCCAAACTAATTCTACTTCACATGAGTTACACAGCTGTTCTCCTTCTTGAAATACCTTCCTCTATCCTAACTCTCTGAAATCTGCACTGTTGGGAAAGGCTGTCCTCCAGGGGCCCTAAGAATCCATGCACATTATTGCTGAGTGTGCCAAACTTTAAGAACAACTCGACCTACCACAGGCACTGCTTCTATCTGGGCTCATTGCCTCTCCCTGTGGGACTTACAGGCAGAAGAACAGATAATTTACATTCCTTTCCTGTGCTGTGAGATTTAAGTTCTTACCTTCATCCATTGTCTCATCACCTGCTTTCAGTGCCTATGGCATGGTGGCAGATTTACTCCTGACCATCCTCTATGAGGTCAGCGTGCTTCCCTGACACAGGCACTCAGAAAGACCAAAGTAAATTTCTATCTTCTCTGCAAATAACCAAAGTTTCAAAGACTTTTCCATCATCCTTTGAACATCTATGTGTTGAAACTAAAAAGATATGTACCACAAGGAGGGCACAGAAACTGAGGGAGGTTACCATGGCTCCAGTTCTAATTCTCAGTTTTGAAAGTGATTTGTTATATCCTTGTCACAGGATTGATTAGGCGTGGGGAAAATGACTCCAGTAAACCAAACTCACAACTGACTGAAGTACAAACAGGGACCCAATTTGTTCATTTACCGTGAGAAATATAACTCTTATGTTCATCTGAAATGTATCTGTCAGTATGACAAAACATTCTCTCACCACAGGAAGATCTGTTTGGGAAACCAAATTACAGTCACACGATTGCTTAGTGAGCACAGAATCCGAGTTAAGGGAGTTGGTGAAGTGAGGCTAGTATTTATGAGTGGAGGCCAAGCTTATGGATCTTTCTTGCGTTACAGATTTATCCACCATAAAAAGGGACAAATCAAGTTCTTGGTGTAGGGCAACCTTCCTCAGAGAGCACTTCACTTTTGTTTATGTTCCATTGCTGCCCATCCATCTATATTTTTGTGGGTCCTTCCTCTTCACTGCAGCTTTAGCTATTAGACCTTGAACTTGAATGTGGTGGAAAAGAGACTTGATGTGTTAAAGTTCCTTTTGCCTCTATCTAATTTGTCTCCACCTAAAGTTTCATTTGTTTCAGAGCTATGAAGGGCAGGAGAGGTACAGGAGAGTTACTGAAGGCTCTTTTTCAATGTACCACAATTTAAGAAATTACAATTGTTTTTAAAGATTGTGCCAACTTTTAGGCATCCCTGAGGTCAATGTTGGGTGATGCATGCCCCTCAGATTCCCTTTATCAGACCTGTACTCCCATCCCTAGCTGATGTAAGTATTGGATGGCTGCCTCCAGCTGATGGAGCTGCCACTCTGAGGATTTACACATATCCCTACCCCATGGTGTGTGGGGTTATCCCATAACCAATGACTAGCCTACGTTGGGGTAGAAAAGCTACCTTGCTGGCTTGGTGAAGTTTATGGACCACAGTCCCCAACCCCAATCCCTAGTTCAAACTGAGACTAGACTTGATCTGAGAGCACATCCTTACTCAGCAAATTGTCCTTGCCTTTCCTCCTCTGCTCTGTCCCTAACTGGTCTTTCAGAAGAGCACTCCAGCAATAAGTCCCACATCTCAATCTCTGTCTCAAGCTTTACTTCTAGGGTGCCCAACCTAACAGAGCTCATAACAAATATCCTTTCCCCATCTTCCTGCTACTTCTCTAGCATCCCTGGTGGGCTTATTCCTCTCCCTAGATAAGGTCTATGCTGGTTCTATAGAAATAGAGTCAGAGAACTAAGATCAGGCATGAGGAGCCTACTAGCTAGGATCCCTCTGCACAGGATATAGAGGACAGGGATATATCTGAGAAAAGGTACCCTGATGCTTACCCCTAGATACTGGAATTGTTATTTTACAGCCCTGACAGTTTCTGTAGGTGCTTTCTGTGTCCTCCGCCTGTAAGTTTTCCCTAATAACTGATAGTATTTTCTATCCAATTTTTTTTTACTTTTTAAATACTTTTTACTTTGGTTTAAATGAAGAGGAACAGGACAAACAGAGCATGGGCATAGCGAAGAGACATGAGTGGGACTATTCAGGGGACAATAAGGTTATGCCTGGAATGCCTAAGAGCAACAAGGAAAGGAGAAAGATCTTCCCACTGAAAGGTTTACAGTTCATTCTGTCTGGAGCCCGGGACAGAGCAAGGAGGAGTCAGGAAACAAAGAACATGGCCCTCAGAGAATCCAGATGGTTGGCCACAGGGTCTCCAGTTAGGGCAATGCCCCCCACCACCACTGCCCCACAAGAAACCCAGTCATTCAAGACCAGACACTAAATCCCAGCCTTATCCTGACTTCACAAACTTCAAGACATCTCCTCATAAAAGCAGGAAGACTGAAGAACTGTTAAAAAAAAATGCACAGGAGCCACCAACCACAAAAACAGCTCAAATTCACACCCATAATGTGACTGTGACCTCAGCACCATAGCCACAAGCACCGTAATTGCCTCTCCACCTCCTAAGAATGATCCTCCTGATATCTGGAACCAGTTATCACTCATATTTGCATCCCTCGCCTTACACAGAAGGTCTTAGCACTGAGTAGTCCCCATCTAAATGAGCCCATCCTCCCCAGCACCACACCTCCCCCTGTTCTACCACTCTACTTAAACCCAGTTCATTTTCTTCATAACACACACCACAACTTGAAAATATGTATGTATTCCTTTGTTTCCCTTTTTACTGTCAGTCTCCCTCACTAGCTTGAGAGCTCCATACAACAGTAACTGTATTTATTCACCATCATGACAAAAATAAAAAACAGTATTTGACAAAAGTAGTATAGACTTCACCAATACTGGTAGAATGATTGAATGAATGCTGATGACATGGTGAAAAGTGTTGGAGCCAACTATAGTTTTGGCCCTTTAATTCAGAACAGGAGCTTATCTTCAAACACCAAGTCTGAGCTTGGCACCAGGACCAGATAAGGGTTGCAGTACTTCTTGTTCCCTGATGCTTAAAGAATAATTGGGTTATAGGGATAGTTAAAAGGACTGAGTAGAATTTGGTGATTAGCAATGAAATAGAAGAAAATTGACAGGAAAAGAGCTTTTGCAGTAATCCTCTTTTATGCCATTTTTATCTCAGAATGCTGAAGGGTTTTCCATATGTATCATGTTTTCAGTTCTTAGTTTTCAAATGTGTACTTTATACAGCTTCAAAAGAATAATTGGCAACATATGAATATGCATGTGCATATTTATGATATTGCATCCATCAGCACAATATTACCTTTCCTCCTGCGTTTAAAATGTATACCTTTTGCACTTTAGAATAATGAGTCTACATGGATTGGTGTCAAACAAACGGTTCTACCATTCTTTATTAGTTTTCCTTTCATAGTACTTTATGCCAAGAACAAACACCATATTCTTTGAAGGTTGTTTTTATAGAATCCTTTCTCAGGTGATACAGAAAAAGAAGAGCTTGCCTCTGAATAGGACTGCATACATTGGATTAAATCCCCTGAGCACTACTGTCAACAGTAAACAATACCTTTATTTCATTCAAGATCTCAATTCTGTCAGTTTTTCCAATTAACCTGTCAGCCACTTTCCAACTTTTAACCCTGTAAATGAAAGCTGGCCCTCCTTTATCACTATGCCAAGTCCTCTGAGTCTCCCTTACACTAAATACATTTGCTAATAATTTTCTGTTCGCTTCTGTTTATCAGCTCACAGTCACCTAATGCTATCCTTTCCACTCAGTATGCCCAGGCCACCCCTCTCATAATTAATATTAATGGAGCATGTACATGCTTAATATACATAATCTTATTTAATCCTTACAAGAACCCTATGAAGTGCCATATCAGAGTTCTCAGATTGCAAGCAATGGAAATCAACTTTAGCTAAATTAAGCAAAAGGAAACTTACTGGAAAAATACTGGAGTCCTCATTACCAATGGGAAGGGTAGAAAGCCAAGCTTAGAAATGAGCAGAAGCTAAGGCATCTCCAGAGAACTAGGAATCCAAAATTATAGGGATAATGTGTGATGAGAACTATAGTACAATCAACAAGTAAATGCTAACACTTACATGTTGCTAATTGTGTGCTAGATAATGTTCCAAGCATTTCACATAATACATATGCACATATCACAATGTATAGTAGATATCCATTTTTCTCTGTTTGGTGTCTGTCTATCTCAAAGCTTGAAAGCTCCATGTGGACAGAAATCATGTGTACTGTATTTACTGATGCATACCTAACGCCAAGGATGTAGTCAGCATATAGGATAAGATAGGTACCCTTAACACTCCCATTTTACACATGACGAAGCATGCACAGGAAGGCTAAATAATTCCCAAAGTCATGCAGTTGCAGTGTATGGTGTATCCCTAGAATCTGTGCCCTTAACCACCATACTATAATTTCATCCACTTTTAGTCATTTTATTTCTCTGGTCAAGTTCAGACTCCAAAGGGCCTATCCAGTTGGTATTCACAGGGTGACACATATTCCCATTATCTCAGGAAGGGTTGATTACCAATTCACTGAGGAAGCAATGATTCCTCCGAAGGAATTCAGGATATTATAAGATAAATAAAATGGGAGGTCAAAGAATGACAAACATCTTCTCACAATAACCTCCAGGTTGAAACCATTATCTTCTCCATTTTACACATGAGGAAAGTGAAGCCAAAGTCTATGTTATAATTCTCTACTTCTATGGTGACAAAGCTAAGAGTATTGGGTTGAATAGTGCCTTCCCAAAACTCACATCCATCCAGAATCTATGAATGAGACCTTATTTGGAAACAGGACTTTTGTCAGTGTAATCAAGTTGAGGTCACACTGAATTAGGGAAAGCCCTAATCTCATAATTAAGGTCCCTACAAGAGGAAATTTTGGACACAGATACAGGAAGAGGGAGAATGCCATTTGAAAACTGAGGCAGAGATTGGAATGATGTGTCTACTAAATAAGCGCCAGAAGCTAGGAAGAGGCAAGGACAGAGCTCCCTTACAGCCTCAGAGAGAGCATGGCCATGCTAATACTTTGATTTTTGACTTCTGGCCTCCACGATTGTGAGAGAATATATTTCTGCTGTTTTAAGCCACATAGATTGTGTTAATTTGTTACAGCAACCCTAGCAAATTAATACGCTAATGCTCACATTAATATTAAATAACTTATCCTAGATAACAGAACTTATAAGTGGCATAGACTGCATTACATGTTTCCTCTCTTTTACTTTGCCTCCAACCCTCATGCCCCACTATACCTTCAATCCTTAACTACCCAGCAGTCTTCCCTAGATTGCCTAATTCTCCCCTGACTCTGACAAACTGCTATCTTTGTTTAACTTTTACTTTAGGTTCAAGGGTGCACATGCAGGTGTGTTATACAGGTAAATTGTATGTCAGGGAGGTTGGTGTACAGATTACTTCTTCACCCAGGTGATAAGCATGGTTCCCAAAAGGTAGTTTTTTAATCCTCACCCTCCTCCCACGTTCCACCCTCAAGCAGGCCCCAGTGTCTGCTGCTCCCTTCTTTGTGTTCATGGGTACTCAGTCTAACTGCAGTCTTGACCACTGATCTACTTCCTGTCAAAATGATTCTAAGTAGTACTTCATTATCCACAGCCTGTTCAATGTTCTATTAATAAGATAAACTGGTGTGCTAATTTAGAAATCAATAGCACACAGTTATGTAACATTTTCATTTAAAAATGACTCCATAAAAACCAATATCTTTTTTTTTATTATTATTATACTTTAAGTTTTAGGGTACATGTGCACATTGTGCAGGTTACATATGTATACATGTGCCATGCTGGTGCGCTGCACCCACTAACTCGTCATCTAGCATTAGGTATATCTCCCAATGCTATCCCTCCCCCCTCCCCCCACCCCACCACAGTCCCCAGAGTGTGATATTCCCCTTCCTGTGTCCATGTGATCTCATTGTTCAATTCCCACCTATGAGTGAGAATATGTGGTGTTTGGTTTTTTGTTCTTGCGATAGTTTACTGAGAATGATGATTTCCAATTTCATCCATGTCCCTACAAAGGACATGAACTCATCATTTTTTATGGCTGCATAGTATTCCATGGTGTATATGTGCCACATTTTCTTAATCCAGTCTATCATTGTTGGACATTTGGGTTGGTTCCAAGTCTTTGCTATTGTGAATAATGCCGCAATAAACGTACGTGTGCATGTGTCTTTATAGCAGCATGATTTATAGTCATTTGGGTATATACCCAGTAATGGGATGGCTGGGTCAAATGGTATTTCTAGTTCTAGATCCCTGAGGAATCGCCACACTGACTTCCACAATGGTTGAACTAGTTTACATTCCCACCAACAGTGTAAAAGTGTTCCTATTTCTCCACATCCTCTCCAGCACTTGTTGTTTCCTGACTTTTTAATGATTGCCATTCTAACTGGTGTGAGATGATATCTCATAGTGGTTTTGATTTGCATTTCTCTGATGGCCAGTGATGATGACCATTTTTTCATGTGTTTTTTGGCTGCATAAATGTCTTCTTTTGAGCAGTGTCTGTTCATGTCCTTCGCCCACTTTTTGATGGGGTTGTTTGTTTTTTTCTTGTAAATTTGTTTGAGTTCATTGTAGATTCTGGATATTAGCCCTTTGTCAGATGAGTAGGTTGCGAAAATTTTCTCCCATGTTGTAGGTTGCCTGTTCACTCTGATGGTAGTTTCTTTTGCAGTGCAGAAGCTCTTTAGTTTAATTAGATCCCATTTGTCAATTTTGGCTTTTGTTGCCATTGCTTTTGGTGTTTTGGACATGAAGTCCTTGCCCATGCCTATGTCCTGAATGGTAATGCCTAGGTTTTCTTCTAGGGTTTTTATGCTTTTAGGTCTAACGTTTAAATCCTTAATCCATCTTGAATTGATTTTTGTATAAGGTGTAAGGAAGGGATCCAGTTTCAGCTTTCTACATATGGCTAGCCAGTTTTCCCAGCACCATTTATTAAATAGGGAATCCTTTCCCCATTGCTTGTTTTCCTCAGGTTTGTCAAAGATCAGATAGTTGTAGGTATGCGGCGTTATTTCTGAAGGCTCTGTTCTGTTCCATTGATCTATATCTCTGTTTTGGTACCAGTACCATGCTGTTTTGGTTACTGTAGCCTTGTAGTATAGTTTGAAGTCAGGTAGTGTGATGCCTCCAGCTTTGTTCTTTTGGCTTAGGATTGACTTGCCGATGCGGGCTCTTTTTTGGTTCCATATGAACTTGAAAGTAATTTTTTCCAATTCTGTGAAGAAAGTCATTGGTAGCTTGATGGGGATGGCATTGAATCTGTAAATTACCTTGGGCAGTATGGCCATTTTCACGATAAAGATTCTTCCTACCCATGAGCATGGAATGTTCTTCCATTTGTTTGTATCCTCTTTTATTTCCTTGAGCAGTGGTTTGTAGTTCTCCTTGAAGAGGTCCTTCACATCCCTTGTAAGTTGGATTCCTAGGTATTTTATTCTCTTTGAAGCAATTGTGAATGGGAGTTCACTCATGATTTGGCTCTCTGTTTGTCTCTTATTGGTGTATAAGAATGCTTGTGATTTTTGTACATTGATTTTGTATCCTGAGACTTTGCTGAAGTTGCTTATCAGCTTAAGGAGATTTTGGGCTGAGAAGATGGGGTTTTCTAGATAAACAATCATGTTGTCTGCAAACAGGGACAATTTGACTACCTCTTTTCCTAATTGAATACCCTTTATTTCCTTCTCCTGCCTGATTGCCCTGGCTAGAACTTCCAACACTATGTTAAATAGGAGAGGGGAGAGAGGGCATCCCTGTCTTGTGCCAGTTTTCAAAGGGAATGCTTCCAGTTTTTGCCCATTCAGTATGATATTGGCTGTGGGTTTGTCATAGATAGCTCTTATTATTTTGAAATACATCCCATCAATACCTAATTTATTGAGAGTTTTTAGCATGAAGGGTTGTTGAATTTTGTCAAAGGCTTTTTCTGCATCTATTGAGATAATCATGTGGTTTTTGTCTTTGGTTCTGTTTATATGCTGGATTACATTTATTGATTTGCGTATATTGAACCAGCCTTGCATCCCAGGGATGAAGCCCACTTGATCATGGTGAATAAGCTTTTTCATGTGCTGCTGGATTCGGTTTGCCAGTATTTTATTGAGGATTTTTGCATCAATGTTCATCAAGGATATTGGTCTAAAACTCTTTTTGGTTGTGTCTCTGCCCGGCTTTGGTATCAGAATGATGCTGGCCTCATAAAATGAGTTAGGGAGGATTCCCTCTTTTTCTATTGATTGGAATAGTTTCAGAAGGAATGGTACCAGTTCCTCCTTGTACCTCTGGTAGAATTCGGCTGTGAATCCATCTGGTCCTGGACTCTTTTTGGTTGGTAAACTATTGATTATTGCCACAATTTCAGCTCCTGTTATTCGTCTATTCAGAGATTCAACTTCTTCCTGGTTTAGTCTTGGGAGAGTGTATGTGTTGAGGAATGTATCCATTTCTTCTAGATTTTCAGTTTATTTGCGTAGAGGTGTTTGTAGTATTCTCTGATGGTAGTTTGTATTTCTGTGGGATCAGTGGTGATATCCCCTTTATCATTTTTTATTGTGTCTATTTGATTCTTCTCTCTTTTTTTCTTTATTAGTCTTGCTAGCGGTCTATCAATTTTGTTGATCCTTTCAAAAAACCAGCTCCTGGATTCGTTGATTTTTTGAAGGGTTTTTTGTGTCTCTATTTCCTTCAGTTCTGCTCTGATTTTAGTTATTTCTTGCCTTCTGCTAGCTTTTGAATGTGTTTGCTCTTGCTTTTCTAGTTCTTTTAATTGTGATGTTAGGGTGTCAATTTTGGATCTTTCCTGCTTTCTCTTGTGGGCATTTAGTGCTATAAATTTCCCTCTACACACTGCTTTGAATGTGTCCCAGAGATTCTGGTATGTTGTGTCTTTGTTCTCATTGGTTTCAAAGAACATCTTTATTTCTGCCTTCATTTCATTATGTACCCAGTAGTCATTCAGGAGCAGGTTGTTCAGTTTCCATGTAGTTGAGCGGTTTTGAGTGAGATTCTTAATCCTGAGTTCTAGTTTGATTGCACTGTGGTCTGAGAGAGAGTTTGTTATAATTTCTGTTCTTTTACATTTGCTGAGGAGAGCTTTACTTCCAACTATGTGGTCAATTTTGGAATAGGTGTGGTGTGGTGCTGAAAAAAATGTATATTCTGTTGATTTGGGGTGGAGAGTTCTGTAGATGTCTATTAGGTCCGCTTGGTGCAGAGCTGAGTTCAATTCCTGGGTATCCTTGTTGACTTTCTGTCTCGTTGATCTGTCTAATGTTGACAGTGGGGTGTTAAAGTCTCCCATTATTAATGTGTGGGAGTCTAAGTCTCTTTGTAGGTCACTCAGGACTTGCTTTATGAATCTGGGTGCTCCTGTATTGGGTGCATATATATTTAGGATAGTTAGCTCTTCTTGTTGAATTGATCCCTTTACCATTATGTAATGGCCTTCTTTGTCTCTTTTGATCTTTGTTGGTTTAAAGTCTGTTTTATCAGAGATTAGGATTGCAACCCCTGCCTTTTTTTGTTTTCCATTTGCTTGGTAGATCTTCCTCCATCCTTTTATTTTGAGCCTATGTGTGTCTCTGCACGTGAGATGGGTTTCCTGAATACAGCACACTGATGGGTCTTGACTCTATATCCAACTTGCCAGTCTGTGTCTTTTAATTGGAGCATTTAGTCCATTTACATTTAAAGTTAATATTGTTATGTGTGAATTTGATCCTGTCATTATGATGTTAGCTGGTTATTTTGCTCATTAGTTGATGCAGTTTCTTCCTAGTCTCGATGGTCTTTACATTTTGGCATGATTTTGCAGCGGCTGGTACCGGTTGTTCCTTTCCATGTTTAGCGCTTCCTTCAGGAGCTCTTTTAGGGCAGGCCTGGTGGTGACAAAATCTCTCAGCATTTGCTTGTCTGTAAAGTATTTTATTTCTCCTTCACTTATGAAGCTTAGTTTGGCTGGATATGAAATTCTGGGTTGAAAATTCTTTTCTTTAAGAATGTTGAATATTGGCCCCCACTCTCTTCTGGCTTGTAGGGTTTCTGCTGAGAGATCCGCTGTTAGTCTGATGGGCTTCCTTTTGAGGGTAACCCGACCTTTCTCTCTGGCTGCCCTTAACATTTTTTCCTTCATTTCAACTTTGGTGAATCTGACAATTATGTGTCTTGGAGTTGCCCTTCTCGAGGAGTATCTTTGTGGCGTTCTCTGTATTTCCTGAATCTGAACGTTGGCCTGCCTTGCTAGATTGGGGAAGTTCTCCTGGATAATAACCTGCAGAGTGTTTTCCAACTTGGTTCCATTCTCCGCATCACTTTCAGGTACACCAATCAGACGTAGATTTGGTCTTCTCACATAGTCCCATATTTCTTGGAGGCTTTGCTCATTTCTTTTTATTCTTTTTTCTCTAAACTTCCCTTCTCGCTTCATTTCATTCATTTCATCTTCCATCGCTGATACCCTTTCTTCCAGTTGATCGCATCGGCTCCTGAGGCTTCTGCATTCTTCACGTAGTTCTTGAGCCTTGGTTTTCAGCTCCATCAGCTCCTTTAAGCACTTCTCTGTATTGGTTATTCTAGTTATACATTCTTCTAAATTTTTTTCAAAGTTTTCAACTTCTTTGCCTTTGGTTTGAATGTCCTCCCGTAGCTCAGAGTAATTAGATCGTCTGAAGCCTTCTTCTCTCAGCTCGTCAAAGTCATTCTCCATCCAGCTTTGTTCCGTTGCTGGTGAGGAAGTGCATTCCTTTGAAGGAGGAGAGGCGCTCTGCGTTTTAGAGTTTCCAGTTTTTCTGTTGTGTTTTTTCCCCATCTTTGTGGTTTTATCTACTTTTGGTCTTTGATGATGGTGATGTACAGATGGGTTTTCGGTGTGGATGTCCTTTCTGTTTGTTAGTTTTCCTTCTAACAGACAGCACCCTCAGCTGCAGGTCTGTTGGAATACCCTGCCGTGTGAGGTGTCAGTGTGCCCCTGCTGGGGGGTGCCTCCCAGTTAGGCTGCTTGGGGGTCAGGGGTCAGGGACCCACTTGAGGAGGCAGTCTGCCCGTTCTCAGATCTCCAGCTGCGTGCTGGGAGAACCACTGCTCTCTTCAAAGCTGTCAGACAGGGACATTTAAGTCTGCAGAGGATACTGCTGTCTTTTTGTTTGTCTGTGCCCTGCCCCCAGAGGTGGAGCCTACAGAGGCAGGCTGGCCTCCTTGAGCTGTGGTGGGCTCCACCCAGTTGGAGCTTCCTGGCTGCTTTGTTTACCTAAGCAAGCCTGGGCAATGGTGGGCGCCCCTCCCCCAGCCTCGCTGCTGCCTTGCAGTTTGATCTCAGACTGCTGTGCTAGCAATCAGCGAGATTCCGTGGGCGTAGGACCCTCCGAGCCAGGTGTGGTATATAGTCTTGTGGTGCGCCGTTTTTTAAGCCGGTCCGAAAAGCGCAATATTCGGGTGGGAGTGACACGATTTTCCAGGTGTGTCCGTCACCCCTTTCTTTGACTCGGAAAGGGAACTCCCTGACCCCTTGCGCTTCCCAGGTGAGGCAATGCCTCGCCCTGCTTCGGCTCACGCATGGTGCGCGCACCCACTGGCCTGCGCCCACTGTCTGGCACTCCCTAGTGAGATGAACCCGGTACCTCAGATGGAAATGCAGAAATCACCCGTCTTCTGCGTCGCTCACGCTGGGAGCTGTAGACCGAAGCTGTTCCTATTCGGCCATCTTGGCTCCTCCCCCCCAAAAACCAATATCTTAACCCAAAGCCCCCATGATCATAGGGGATGAAGAATGGGCGGCAACTATAAAGAATTTCATCCTTTGGCTTACACCACACAGATGACTAACAACTCTGCTCTTTTTATAAAAATATTGGCATATGGCCTCTTAGGCCCTTTGAATTATTATTCTCTCTTTGAATTATTATTCTCTCTTTTACAGCACTGACCTCCTGGGAAAAAAACAAAAACTCTAGCCTTCTGAAACTAGTCACTTTGTTTTACAGTATCTTTTTTCTTACAACCTGTGACTTCCAACAGATTAAGCCAAAATCTTTGTTTTCTATTCCCTTGTATCCATAGATAACTAATGATCAGCAAGTAAGCAGAAAGCCCAACTTACAAACATAGTGCTATTTGGTATTCAACAAAAGAGAAGAACTAGGGAATGGTTGTTGAGTCAACTAACCAGCAACATCTGCCCTATGCCTCTATGTGGCAGGCACAATTCTAAACATATTATACTAATTCATTTAATCTTCACAAAAACCTAGAAGAGAAATATTATCACTGTCACTTTATGAATGAAGAAACTGTGACACAGAGAGGTTAATTAAAAGCTTTCATATGAATTTGCTAGGACTATCATAATCAAGTACTGCAACTGGGTGGTTTAAACCAAAATTTATTATCTCACTATTTGGAGGTGAAAATTTCAAGATAAAGGTGTCAGAAGGGGTACTTCTTCTTAGGGATATGGGAGAGACTCTGTTCCATGCATCTCTCCTAGTTTCTGGTGGTTTTCTAGCAATATTGGGCATTCCTTTGATTAATGTATGGCCCCCGTCTCTGCCTTCATCTTCACATTGCATTCTCCTGTGCCTGTGTGTCTTTGTGTTAAAATTTCCCCTTTTTATAAGGACACCAGTCATATTGGATTAGGTCCACCATAATGGCATCATCTTAACTTAATAATCTGCAAAGACACTATTTCCATTAAGATCATATCACAGGTACTGAGGGTTAGGACTTTAACATCTTCTGGAGGGACACAATTCCACCCATAACACCTTGGTCGGTGGGGCATCCAGGAATTGGCACACAGACAACTGCCTCCAGAACTTCTTTATTTTAACAACTACACTTTCCTTCTCTTCATTTTCAAAGTGACATTAGCTATGGTTTCCCTCTCTCTCAAGTCTTTCCACTGACATAATTTATTCTCCTCCTACTCAGGACTTTCATAACCAACAAAACAGCTGCTTTTAAGATCTTCTCTCAGGATTAAGATATTTAAAAATGGTTATTGTATAACAAAGTTTGGTTGAGCTAAGTTGTCCTACGTTTTGAAAGATGGGTGTTTACTTATGAGAAATTCAAGGGATGTGCTGGGGTTTAGTTTTTCTCATAGCAAACTTAAAATACGGAAAGATAGAAACCCTTTTGATTTGTTTGGCTAAACACAGAGTGCATGCTCACAGCGTTAGGTGAGAATGGAATCTCTACTTTATTTTTATACAAACATTATGTGGACTCTGTGTTGGTGGTGATGGCTTAAAAATCTTACAGTGACAGGATTTACATGGCTGTGAGCATTTGTGCACAGCAGCAGGATGGCTCTAAGCACAGACTTTGGGTAAGAAAGATCTATACAATCACCAGCTAGTTGTTACCTGCCCTGCCCCTTCCTTTTTTTACTCTTTGTCTGAGGGCTTTCTCTTCCTGGCAAACCCTACTTTGCCCACCCATCCAGCATACTGGAAGTACTCTCCCCCAGATATTATTCTTCAATATATGACTGGCATGAGTCGCTATAAAAAATATCCCATCTCCACTGCTCCTTGAGTGGGAAAACTAAGGTGTGTTTCCACATGGGCTCCCTGAATTTCTTCAGCAAGATTAAAATCTAATTGCCTACATGGAACTAGCTTAATAATTCACTCTTTACTGGTTGCCTCCCCTTCTTTGTCTCACTTTTCCACCAGTAGGGTATAGTATTTTTTTTAAATCTCCTATTAAATTATTTACTTTTGAATCCTCTTCTCGGAATCTGCTTCTGATGAAATCCTACTAAGATGATGGCTATGTGAACTTAATAAATTTACTTAATTTCTCTATACCTCAGTTTCTACATCCTCCAAATGGAATTGCTTAAAAGAAATTAACAACCTAAAGGGGCTTTCACTAGCCAAATCTGGGACAACCTGAGCATCAAATAAACAATGGTCAAAACATATATTATTTACTGAATAATAAAAGCATCCTATGAGTCCATACTAACAATGAATAAATAATTGTGGAAAAGAGGACGATTTTTCCTATGGTACAAAGATGCTAACAAGTATGGAAGGAATTGTGGAATTTGAAAATCACCATTTGGCATCATATTAATAATTAATTTAGCTAAATTAGCATGCAGGTGAAAGTTTCTTGAGAAAGAGGACACTTGCATTTTCTCAAAGTACTCCTCAACAAATTACTTAATTACAAATCAAGAAAGTATAACTTTATAGCAGAAAAACCTATCAGATGCCACCTTGATCAAATTATCAAAATTAACATTACCAGTAATTAGATAAATTGATGTACAGCTCAATAGATTATAAAAAGAGCACAATATCACTTTTGTCGTATTTCTGCCAAAATGCATAATCAAATCTAATCATGAAGAAATAGAAAATAAACTGAAATTACAGGACATTTTCTAAAATAACTGACTGGATAGTAATCTTCAAAATTATCACATCAAGAAAGCCAAGGAAAGACTGAGAAACTTGCCAGGCACACAAAGAATAAAGAGACATGCTGCAATGAACTGGATCCTTTTGTCATAAAGAGCATTATTGGGACAATTAGTAAAACTTCAATGGGGTCTGAGGTTAAGATGGTAGTAACACACCAGTATTAATTTGATGACTGTCATTTAGTTATATAGAAGAATATTCTTATTTGTAGAAAATATGCACTAAAGCACTGAGGGATGTTGAAGCACTATGTCAGCAACTTATTTTCAACAGCTCAGGAAAAGTAAATGGTTTTCTTCTCTTCTTAGAGCTTTTCTGTAAGTTTAATATTATTTCAAGTTATTTTTTAAAATCTGGTTTATCTTCAGTCAACTATGCCTATTCTACCTGTATGGATAATATTTTCATGAGTTTCTTAATAAACTGGTGATCAGAAACTTATTTGCACCTATTTACAAAATTAAAACATTTAAACAAAAAAATTAAGTTAATACATTTAAAACGCTTGGAGAAATTTTTCCTCCAATTATGATGAAGTAACAAGTCCTAGATATGTCCTCCTACCATAAATAACTAGAAAGATGGAAAAAAAGTACCAGAGTAGTGGGGAGAATCTGTTTCCAGACAATGCCTAGGACTGAGATTCCTAGGAGACTGGAAATAAAAAATATGAGTCATAGTTACTTCACCTTTCTACCTGGAGGCAATTTCTCAACTACAGTGCTGGCAGGAAAGCCCAAAGAACAACAGTTTTGTTACATTGAGGAAAGAGAGATATAAATATGAGGGAGCTAAAATAGTCGGAATTTGCAAAGCAGAGAATCAGAGAAAAGGGTACTACACAGAAAAGGAGAGCAAATAAATCTTTGTTGGTTCTCCTTGACTCTTTTTCTGAATAAGAGGTGCATGCACAGAGTGATAATCCACAAGGCCTGGCATTGTATTACCAAGGAGATGAAAACTCAATTCCCAGGGTTCACAAGTTCCAATTAGACGGGGTAGTGAGACTTCACTGGTATCCTGGGTTATTCAGTAGAGACACAAGGATAACACTTTAGTAGTAATGAAAAAGCAATCCTATAATAAAGGCCACTCTAGATGTACCCTTACAAAACTTCAAAACAAATCTCAAAATCATCAAGCTGGTTATCAACAAATTTAACTATCTATAAAAACAAAGTTTGAAACTATTTAAACAAAGTCCCCAAATTCAAACACTCATATGCTCAGAACTCACAATGTCCAACATTTGATAAAAAATTACCAGACATAAAAAGAAGCAGAAAATTGTGAGTCATAACTAAAAGAATACCCAATCAACAGGAAAAGATTTAGAAATGAAAGAGATGATGAAATTATCACATAAGAACTTTAAACATGGAGAGTTCATCTCTACAAATATTTCTTTAAAATTAGCCAGGTATGGATTTTGTAGGAAAAATGGCAGATAGGAGGCAGGACTAAATTGCAGCCCCTCCTCAGACAGACAGAGCAGCATGTGGAGACTCGCATCCGGACCTTTTTGATCCAAGAACTACTGCAGGAATGTACCAGAAAAGCTGAGAGAATCCACAGACCCTCTGAAGGAAATGGATTGCTCCTGCAGTACCCAAGAGACAACTCAAATGCAGCAAGGGCCCAAACTGCCCAAAAGAGGAAAGGGGAATCATTTACCCCTGAACGCACACCTTCACTGGGGAACCTGAAAGTCTAGATCGTGGGAGAAGGATTTGACCTTACCTGGAGCTGAGTCAATTTAGAGAGCCAAGCAAAATACAGGGGAAGAAGAAGCAGTGGAAAAAGCCCTGTGAATTCTCTGGGTCCCCAGGGAAGCCATTTCTGACTTGTCTCACAGGGGTCCTTGGGGAGGGCTGCCAGAGAAAGTGGGAAAAGACCACATAAAGAATGTAACCTCCATCTGAACTTTGTAACAATTCCAACTGAACATGAAATCCCCTGGCCAGAACTCAGGGCAGGGTGTGCAGACTCGACAGACAGGGAGGCACAAAATCCCAGCTCACTTTCTCAGCCAGGTGGCTGGTAGCTGGGGCAAGTTGTCAGTCCTGCTAACCCACTGCCTGGAAACAAACTTGGTGCTGTTGGGGGGTATGGTGGAAGTGAGACCAGCATTTCAGGTTGCATGGGAGCTGGGTGAAGCCTGTAACTGCCAGCTTTCCCCCACTTCCCTGAAAACCTGTATGACACAGCACAGGCAGCCATCATCCTCCTGGAAACATAACTCCATTGACCTAGGAACCACACCCCCATCCCCCACAGCAGTCACAGCAAGCCCCACCCAAGGAGAGTCTGAGATCAGATATGCCTAACCCTGCTCCCACCTGATGGTTCTTCCCTACCCACTCTGATAGCTGAATACAAAGGTCATATTTTTTTGAAGTTCCAGGGTCCCATCCGTCGCTTGATCCTACCTATACTACCACAACTAATGCTGTCTTGAAAGTGCCACCTCCTAGCAGGAGGCCAACCAGCAAAAACTAGTTAATCAAACAACTACAACTACGGATACCTACAGAGTCCATTTCACCCCCCTGCCACCTCCACTGGAGCAGATGCTGGCATCCACACCTGCAAGACCCAAAGACTGCACATCACAGGCTCTGGGCAGACACCCCTCAGTACCAGCCTGGAGCCCGGTAGCCCTGGTGGGTGGCTAGACCCAGGAAAGAAATAACAATCACTGCAGTTCAGCTATCAAGAAGACACATCCCTAGAAAAAGGCAGAGAATACTACCTCAAGGGAACACCATGTGAGACAAAAGAATTCTGAACAGCAGCCTTGAGCCCCAAATCTTCCATCTGACATGGCCTACCCAAATGAGAAAGAATCAGAAAAAACAATTGTGGTAATATGACAAAACAAGGTTAACACCCCTAAAAAATCACAGTAGCTCAGCTCACCAGCAATGGATTCAAACCAAGAAGAAATCCCTGAATTGCCTGAAAAAGAATTCAGAAAATTGATTATTAAGCTAATCAAGGAGGCACCAAAAAAAGGTGAAGTCCAAATTAAGGAAAAAAAAAAAAAAAGATACAACACATGAGGAGAGAACTTTTCAGTAAAATAGACAGCAAAAACACAAAACAATCACAACCTTAGGAAATAAAGGACACACTTAGAGAAATGCAAAATGTACCAGCAAGTCTCAACAATAGAATCAAACAAGCAGAAGAAAAAACTTCAGAGCTCAAAGACATGGTTTTAGAATTAACCCAATCCAATAAAGACAAAGAAGAAAATAACTTTAAAAAATAAATAAAGCCTCCAAGAAGTTTGGGATTACGTTAAACTACCAAACCTAAGAATAATTGGCATTCCTGAGGAAGAAGAGAAATCTAAAAGTTTGGAAAATATATTTGGGGGGATAATCAAGAAAAACTTCCCCAACCTTGCTAGTGACCTAGACATCCAAATACAAGAAGCTAAAGGAACACCTAGGAAATTCATTGCAAAAAGATCATCACTTAGGCACATAGTTATCAGGTTATCTAAAGTCTAGACAAAGGAAAGACTCTTAAGAGGTGAGCAGCAAAAGGATAAGGTAACCCATAAAGGAAAACCTATTAGAGTAACATCAGGTTTCCTACTGTACATCCTACAAGCTAGAGGGGATTGAGACTTTATCTTCGGCCTCCTTAAACAAAACAATTATCAGCCAAGAATTTTGTATCCAGTGAAAGTAAGCTTTATAAATGAAGAAAGGATACAGTTTTTTTTTCACACTAACAAATGCTGAGAGAATTTGTCACGACAAAGACAGCACTATAAGAACTGCTAAAAAGGAGCTCTAAATCTTGAAACAAATCCTGGAAACTCATCAAAAGAAAACCTCTTTAATGCATAAATCTCACAGGACCAATAAAACAAAAATACAATTAAAAAAAAACAAGGTATACAGGCAACAAACAGCACAGTGAATGGAATAGTACTTCACATCTCAATACTAACAATGAATGTAAATAACTTAAATGTGCCACTTAAAAGAAACAGAATTTCAGAATGGATAAGAATTGACCAACCAAATATCTGCTGCCTTCAAGAGACTCACCTAGCACATAAGGATTCACATAACTTAAGGTAAAGGAGTGGAAAAAGATATTCCATGCAAACGGACACCAAAAGTAAGTAGTAAAAGCTATTCTTACATAAGACAAAACAAACTTTGAAGCAACAGCAGTTTAAAAAGACAAAAGGGGACACTATGTAATAATAAAAGGACAGGGGTGGAGCCAAGATGGCCAAATAGGAACAGCTCCAGTCTAGAGCTCCCGGCGTGAACGACACAGAAGATGAATGATTTCTGCATTTCCAACTGAGGTCCCGGGTTCATCCCACTGGGGATTGTCAGATAGTGGGTGCAGGACAGTAGGTGGAGCACACTGAGCATGAGCCGAAGCAGGGCGAGGCATCACCTCACCCAGGAAGCCCAAGGGGTCAGGGAATTCCCTTTCCTAGGAAAGGGGTGACAGACGGCACCTGAAAAATCGGGTCACTCCCACCCTAATACTGCACTTTTGCAATGGTCTTAGCAAACGGCACACCAGGAGATTGTATCCTGCACCTGGCTCAGAGGGTCCTAAGCCCATGGAGCCTCACTCATTGCTGGCACAGCAGTCTGAGATGAAACTGCAAGGTGGCAGCAAGGCTGGGGAAGGGGCGCCTGCCATTGCCCAGGCTTGAGTAGGTAAACAAAGCAGCAGGGAAGCTCGAACTGGGTGGAGCCCCCTGCAGCTCAAGGAGGCCTACCTGCCTCTCTAGACTCCATCTCTGGGGGCAGGGCATAGCCAAACTAAAGGCAGCAGAAACCTCTGCAGACTTAAATGTCCCTGTCTGATAGCTTTGAAGAGAGTATTGGTTCTCCCAGCAAGCATCTGGAGATCTGAGAATGGACAGACTGCCTCCTCAAGTGGGTCCCTGACCCCCAAGTAGCCTAACTGAGAGGCACCCCCCAGTAGGGGCAGAGTGACACCTCAAATGGCCGGGTACTCCTCTGGGACAAAACTTCCAGATAACCATCAGGCAGCAACATTTGCTGTTCACCAATATCGGCTGTTCTGCAGCCTCTGCTGCTGATACCCAGGCAAACAGGTTCTGGAGTGGACCTCCGGCAAACTCCAACAGACCTGCAGCTGAGGGTCCTGACTGTTAGAAGGAAAACTAACAAACAGAAAGGACATCCACACCAAAACCCCATCTGTATGTCACCATCATCAAAGACCAAAGGTAGATAAACCACAAAGATGGGGAAAAAACAGAGCAGAAAAACTGAAAATTCTAAAAATCAGAGTGCCTCTCCTCCCACAAAGGAACGCAGCTCCTTACCAGTAATGGAACAAAGCTGGATGGAGAATGTCTTTGACGAGTTGAGAGAAGAAGGCTTCAGACTATCAAACTACTCCGAGCTAAAGGAGGAAGTTTGAAGCCATGGCAAAGAAGTTAAAAACCTTGAAAAAAGATTAGACGGATGGCTAACTAGAAAAACCAATGCGGAGAAGTCCTTAAAGGACCTGATGGAGCTGACAACCACAGCATGAGAACTACAAGACAAATGCACAAGCCTCAGTAGCCAATTCGATCAACTGGAAGAAAGGGTATCAGTGATGGAAGATCAAATGAATGAAATGAAGCAAGAAGAGAAGTTTAGAGCAAAAAGAATAAAAAGAAATGAACAAAGCCTCCAAGAAATATGGGACTATGTGAAAAGGCCAAATCTACATCTGATTGGTGTACCTGAAAGTGATGGGGAGAATGGAACCAAGTTGGAAAACACTCTGCAGGATATTATCCAGGAGAACTTCCCCAATCTAGCAGGGCAGGCCAACATTCAGATTCAGGAAATACAGAGAATGCCACAAAGAAACTCCTCGAGAAGAGCAACTCCAAGACACATAATTGTCACATTCACCAAAGATGAAATGAAGGAAAAAATGTTAAGGGCAGCCAGAGAGAAAGGTCGGGTTACCCACAAAGGGAAGTCCATCAGACTAACAGCTAATCTCTCAGCAGAAACTCTACAAGCAAGAAGAGAGTGGGGGCCAATATTCAACATTCTTAAAGGAAAGAATTTTCAACCCAGAATTTTATATCAAGCCAAACTAAGCTTCATAAGTGAAGGAGAAATAAAATACTTTACAGACAAGCAAATGCTGAGAGATTTTGTCACCACCAGGCCTGCCCTAAAAGAGCTCCTGAAGGAAGCACTAAACATGGAAAGGGACAACTCGTACCAGCCACTGCAAAAACATACCAAATTGTAAAGACCATCGAGGCTAGGAAGAAATTGCATCAACTAACGAGCAAAATCACCAGCTAACATCATAATGACAGGATCAAATTCACACATAACAATATTAACCTTAAATGTAAATGGGCTAAATGGTCCAGTTAAAAGACACAGACTGGCAAATTGGATAAAGAGTCAAGACCCATCAGTGTGCTGTATTCAGGAAACCCATCTCACATGCAGTGACACACATAGGCTCAAAATAAAGGGATGGAGGAAGATCTACCAAGCAAATGGAAAGCAAAAAAAGGCAGAGGCTGCAATCCTAGTCTCTGATAAAACAGACTTTAAGCCAACAAAGATCAAAAGAGACAAAGGAGGCCATTAGATAATGGTAAAGGGATCAATTCAACAAGAAGAGCTAACTATCCTAAATATATATGCACCCAATACAGGAGCACCCAGATTCATAAAGCAAGTCCTTAGAGACCTACAAAGAGACTTAGACTCCCATACAATAATATTGGGAGACTTTAACACCCCACTGTCAACATTAGACAGATCAACAAGACAGAAAGTTAACAAGGATATCCAGGAATTGAACTCAGCTCTGCACCAAGCAGACCTAATAGACATCTACAGAACTCTCCACCCCAAATCAACAGAATATACATTCTTTTCAGCACCGCACCACACCTATTCCAAAACTGACCACATAGTTGGAAGTAAAGCACTCCTCAGCAAATGTAAAAAACAGAAATTATAACAAACTGTCTCTCAGACCACAGTGCAACCAAACTAGAACTCAGGATTAAGAAACTCACTCAAAACTGCTCAACTACATGGAAACTGAACAACCTGCTCCTGAATGACTACTGGGTACATAACAAAACGAAGGCAGAAATAAAGATGTTCTTTGAAACCAATGAGAACAAAGACACAACATACCAGAATCTCTGGGACACATTCAAAGCAATGTGTAGAGGGAAATTTATAGCACTAGATGCCCACAAGAGGAAGCAGAAAAGATCTAAAATTGACACCCTAACATCACAATTAAAAGAACTAGAGAAGCAACAGCAAAAACACTCAAAAGCTAGCAGAAGGCAAGAAATAACTAAGATCAGAGCAAAACTGAAGGAAATAGAGACACAAAAAACCCTTCAAAAATCAATGAATCCAGGAGCTGGTTTTTTGAAAACATCAACAAAATTGATAGACCGCTAGCAAGACTAATAAAGAAGAAAAGAGAGAAGAATCAAATAGATGCAATAAAAAATGATAAAGGAGATATCACCACCAATCCCACAGAAATACAAACTACCATCAGAGAATACTGTAAACACCTCTATGCAAATAAACTAGAAAATCTAGAAGAAATGGATAAATTTCTCAACACACCCTCCCAAGACTAAACCAGGAAGAAGTTGAATCTCTGAATAGACCAATAACAGACTCTAAAATTGAGGCAATAATTAATACCTTACCAACCAAAAAAAGTCCAGGACCAGATGGATTCACAGCCGAATTCTACCAGAGGTACAAGGAGGAACTGGTACCATTCCTTCTGAAACTATTCCAATCAATAGAAAAAGAGGGAATCCTCCCTAACTCATTTTATGAGGCCAGCAACATCCTGATACCAAAGCCTGACAGAGACACAACAAAAAAAGAGAATTTTAGACCAATATCCCTGATGAACATTGATGCAAAAATCCTCAATAAAATACTGGCAAACCAAATCCAGCAGCACATCAGAAAGCTTTTCCACCGTGATCAAGTGGGCTTCATCCCTGGGATGCAAGGCTGGTTCAACATATGCAAATCAATAAAAGTAATCCAGCATATAAACAGAACCAACGACTAAAACCACATGTTTATCTCAATACATGCAGAAAAGGCCTTTGACAAAATTCAACACTTCATGCTAAAAACTCTCAATAAATTAGGTATTAATGGGACATATCTCAAAATAACAAGAGCTATCTATGACAAACCCACAGCCAATATCACTGAATGGGCAAAAACTGGAAGCATTCCCTTTGAAAACGGGCACAAGACAGGGATGCCCTCTCTCACCACTCCTATTCAACATACTGTTGGAAGTCCTGGCCAGGGCAATCAGGCAGGAGAAGGAAATAAAGGGTATTCAATTAGGAAAAGAGGTAGTCAAAACGTCCCTGTTTGCAGATGACATGATTGTATATCTAGAAAACCCCATCTTCTCAGCCCAAAATCTCCTTAAGCTGATAAGCAACTTCAGCAAAGTCTCAGGATACAAAATCAATGTGCAAAAATCACAAGCATTCTTATACACCAATAAGAGACAAACAGAGAGCCAAATCATGAGTGAACTCCCATTCTTCACAATTGCTTCAAAGAGAATAAAATACCTAGGAATCCAACTTACAAGGGATGTGAAGGACCTCTTCAAGGAGGACTACAAACCACTGCTCAATGAAATAAAAGAGGATAAAAACAAATGGAAGAACATTCCATGCTCATGGGTAGGAAGAATCTTTATCGTGAAAATGGCCATACTGCCCAAGGTAATTTACAGATTCAATGCCATCCCCATCAAGCTACCAATGCCTTTCTTCACAGAATTGGAAAAAACTACTTTCAAGTTCATATGGAACCAAAAATGAGCCCGCATTGCCAAGTCAATCCTAAGCCAAAAGAACAAAGCTGGAGGCATCATGCTACCTGACTTCAAATTATACTACAAGGCTACAGTAACCAAAACAGCATGGTACTGGTACCAAAACAGAGATATACACCAATGGAACAGAACAGAGCCCTCAGAAATAATGCCACATATCTACAACTATCTGATCTTTGACAAACCTGACAAAAACAAGAAATGGGGAAAGGATTCCCTATTTAATAAATGGTGCTGGGAAAACTGGCTAGCCATATGTAGAAAGCTGAAACTGGATCCCTTCCTTACATCTTATACAAAAACTAATTCAAGATGGATTAAAGACTTAAATGTTAGACCTAAAACCATAAAAACCCTAGAATAAAACCTAGGCATTACCATTCAGGACATAGGCATGGGCAAGGACTTCATGTCTAAAAATGGCAACAAAAGCCAAAATTGACAAATGGGATCTAATTAAACTAAAGAGCTTCTGCACAGCAAAAGAAACTACGATCACAGTGAGCAGGCAACCTACAGAATGGGAGAAAATTTTTGCAATCTACTCCTCTGACAAAGGGCTAATATCCAGAATCTACAATGAACTCAAACAAATTTACAAGAAAAAAACAAACAACCCCATCAACAATGGGCGAAGGATATGAACAGACACTTCTCGAAAGAAGACATTTATGCAGCCAAAACACACATGAAAAAATGCTCATCATCACTGGCCATCAGAGAAATGCAAATCAAAACCACAATGAGGTACCATCTCACACCAGTTAGAATGGTGACCATTAAAAAGTCAGGAAACAACAGGTGCTGGAAAGGATATGGAGATATAGGAACACTTTTACACTGTTGGTAGGACTGTAAACTAGTTCAACCATTGTGGAAGACAGTGTGGCGATTCCTCAGGGATCTAGAACTATAAATACCATTTATCCCAGCCATCTCATTACTGGGTATATACCCAAAGGATTATAAATCATGCTGCTATAAAGACACATGCACACGTATGTTTATTGCGACACTATTCACAATAGCAAAGACTTGGAACCAACCCAAATGTCCAACAATGATAGACTGGATTAAGAAAATGTGGCACATATACACCATGGAATACTATGCAGCCATAAAAAAGGGTGAGTTCATGTCCTTTGTAGGGACATGGATGAAGATGGAAACCATCATTCTCAGCAAACTGTCGCAAGGACAAAAAACCAAACACTGCATATTCTCACTCATAGGTGGGAATTGAACAGTGAGAACACACAGACACAGGAAGGGGAACATCACACACCGGGGCCTGTTGTGGGGAGGGGGGAGGGATAGCATTAGGAGATATACCTAATGTAAATGACGAGTTAATGGGTGCAGCACACCAACATGGCACATGTATACATATGCAACAAACCTGCACGTTGTGCACATGTACCCTAAAACTTAAAGTATAATAAAATAATAATAATAATAAAATGACTAGTTCAACAGAAAAATATCACAATCCTAAATATATATGTACTTAACAGTGGAGCTACCAAATATATAAAACAATTACTACTAGACCTAAGAAATGAGATAGAGAGCAACACAGTAAAAATGGGGGACTTCAATACTCCACTGACAGCACTAGTCAGGTCATCAAGACAGAAAGTCAACAAAGAAACAATGGATTTAAACTATACCCTAGACCAAATGAACTTAACAGATATTTACAAAACATTCTACCCAACAAGCACAGAATATACATTCTATTCATCAGCACATGGAACTTCCTCTAAGATAGACCATATAATAGGACACAAAACTATTCTCAATAATTTAATAATGTTGAAATTATATCAAGTTCTCTCTCAGACCACAGTGGAATAAAATTGGAAATCAACTCGAAAAAGAACCTTTGAAATTATGCAACTATATGGAAATTAAATAACCTGCTTCTGAATTATCACTGGGTCAACAATGAAATCAAGAAGGAAATTTAAAAATTCTTCAAACTGAATAACAATGACACAATCTATCAAAACCTCTGGAACACACCAAAGGCAGTGCTAAGAGGAAAGTTCAAAGCCTTAAATGCCTACATCAAAAAGACAGAAAGAGCACAAACTGACATTCTAAGGTCACATCTTGAGGAACTAGAGAAACAAGAACAAACCAAACCCAAACCCAAGAGAAGAAAAGAAATAACCAAGATCAGAGCAGGACTAAATGAAACTGAAACAAAAACAAAAAAATACAAAAGATAAATAAAATGAATAGACCATTAGCCAGATTAATCAAGAAAAGAAGAGAGAAGATACAAATAAGCTCAATTAGAAATGAAACAGGAGATATTACAACTGACACCACAGAAATACAAAAGATCATTCAAGGCTACTATGAACACCTTTAAATGCATAAACTAGTAAACCTAAAAAAGATGGATAAATTCCTGGAAATATACAACCTGCTCAGTTTAAATCAGGAATAATTAGAAACCATGAACAAACCAATAACAAGCAGTAAGATTGAAATGGTAAAAAAAAAAAAAAAAAAAAAAAAAAATTACCAACAAAAAAAAGTCCAAGACCAGGTGGATTCACAGATGAATTCTCTCAGACATTAAAAGAACTGATACCAATCCTACTGCCATTATTCCACAAGATAAAGAGGGAGTCCTCCCTAAATTACTCTATGAAGCCAATATTGCCCTAATGCCAAAACCAGAAAATGACATAACAACAACAACAAAAAACTACAGACCAATATCCCTGATGAACATAGATGCAAAAGTCCTTAACAAAATACTAGCTAAACGAATCCAACAGCATATCAAAAGGATAATCCACCAAGATCAGGTGGGTTTCATACCAGGCATGCAGGGATGATTTAACATATGCAAGTCAATAAATGTGATACACCACATATGCATAACATTTTAAAAATCACATAATCATCTCAATAGATGCAGAAAAATCATTTGACAAAATCCAGCATCCCTTTATGATTTAAACCCACAACAAAATTAGCATAGAAAGGACATAACTTGAGGTAATAAAAGCCATCTATGAGAAACCCACAGCCAACATAATACTGAATGGGGAAAAGATGAAAGGATTCCCTCTGAGAACTGTAACAAGACAAGGATCCTCGCTCTCACCGCTTCTATTTAACATAGAAATGGAAGTAGTAGCTGGAAAAATCAGACAAGAGAAAGAAATAAAGGGCATCCAAATCGGTAAAGAGGAAGTCAAATAGTCACTGCTTGCTGATGATATAACTGTTTACCTAAAAAATCCTAAAGACTCCTCCAGAAAGCTCATAGAACGGATGAATTCAGCAAAGTTTCAGGATATAAAATTAATGTACACAAATCATTAGCTCTGCTATACACCAACAGTGACCAATCTGAAAATCAAATCAAGAACTCAACCCCTTTTACCATAGCTGCAAAAAAGAAAATAAAATACGTAGGAATATACCTAACCAAGGAGGTTAAAGACCTCTACAAGGAAAAATACAAAATGCTGCTGAAAGAAATCATAGAGGACACAAACAAATGGAAAAACATCCTATGTTCATGGATGGATAGAAGCGATATTGTGAAAATGACCATACTGCCAAAAGCAATCTACAAAATCAATGCAATTTCCATGAAAATACCACCAACATTCTTCACAGAACTAGAAAAAAAATCCTAAAATCCATATGGAACCAAAAAAATAGCCCACATAACCAAAGAAAGACTAAACAAAAAGAACAAATCTGGAGGCATTATCTAAATTCAAACTATATTATAAGGCCATAGTCAAAAACTATATTCTACGGCCATGTCAAAACAACATGGTACTGGTATACAAATAGGTATATGGACTAATGGAACAGCATAGAGAGCCCAGAAATAAAGCCAAATACTTACAGTCAACCAACCTTTAACAAAGCAAACAAAAACATAGAGTAGGAAAAGGACACCCTATTCAACAAGTGGTGCTGGGATAATTGTCAAGCCACATGTAGACGAATGAAACTGGATCCTCATCTCTCACCTTACACAAAAATCAACTCATGATGAATCAAAGACTTACATCTAAGACCTGAAACCATAAAAATCCTAGAAGATAACATCAGAAAAACGCTTCTAGATATTGACTTAGGCAAAGACTTCATTTCCAAGAAGCCAAAAGTAAATGCAACAAAAATAAAGATAAATATATGGAACTTAATTAAGCTAAAGAGCTTCTGCACAGCAAAAGAAATAATTAGCAGAGTAAACAGACTAAGCAATCTTCAGAGTCAGTGCAAATCCTGACAAAATATCAACATCATTTATCAAAGAATTAGAAAAAAATTCTAAAATTCATATGGAACCAAAAAAGAGCCCAAATGGCCAAGGCAATCCTAAGCAAAAAGAACAAAGCTAGAGGCACCACATTACCTGACTTCAAATTATACTACGAGCCTATAGTAACCAAAACAGCATGATACTGGCACAAAACTAGACACATAGACCAATGTAACAGAATAGAGAATCCAGAAATAAAGCCAAATGCCTACAAACAACTGATCTCTGACAAAGTAGACAAAAACATACACTGGGGGAGAAAAAAAGCCCTATTCAATAAATGGTCCTGGGAGAATTGGACAGCCACATGCAGAAGAATGAAACTGGATCCTTATCTCTCTCACCATATACAAAAATTAGTTCAAGATGGATTAAAGACTTGGATGTAAAATGTGAAACCATAAAAATTCTAGAAGGAAACCTAGGAAAAATTTTTCTGGACATTGACCTGGGCAAAGAATTTATTACAAAGACTCCAAAAGCAAACAAAAACAAATAAATAGGACTTGGTTAAGCTAAAAAGCTTCTGCACAGCAAAATAAATAATCAGCAGAGTAAACAGACAACCTACAGAGTGGGAAAAAAATCTTCACAAACTATGCATCTGACAAAGGACTAATATCCAGAATCTACAATGAACTCAAATCAGCAAGAAAAAAAACAAATAATCTCAAATAAGAAATGGGCAAATGACATGAACAGACATTTTTCAAAAGAAGATATACAAATGACCTAGCATTAGGAGATATACCTAATGTTAAATGATGAGTTAATGGGTGCAGCACACCAACATGGCACATGTATACATATGTAACTAACCTGCACATTGTGCACATGTACCCTAAAACTTAAAGTATAGTAAAATAAATAAATAAAAAAGAAGATATACAAATGACCAACAAATATATGCAAAAAAAATGCTCTACATCACTAATCATCAGGGAAATGAAAATTAAAACTACAATGAGATATCACCTTACTCCAGTCAGGATGGCCACTATAAAAAGTATTTTTTAAAAAATCAATAGATATTGGTGCAAATATGGTTAAAAGAGAACACTTATACACTGTTGGTAGAAATGTAAATTAGTACATCCTCTATGGAAAACAGTATGGAAATTTCTCAAAGAAATGAAAGTAGATCTATCATTTGATCCAGCAATCCCACTACTAGGTATCTACCCGAAGTAAAGAAGTCACTATATCAAAAAGACATTTGCACCCATATGTTTATTGCAGCACAATTCACAATTGCAAAGATATAGAATCAACCTAAGTACCCATCAACCAATGATTGACCTAAAAAAGTGATATGACGTCATATATATATCACATTTATTTATAGATAATATATACATGATATATTTACATAGATATATATGTGATATATATGTCGTATGGTGTGTGTGTGTATATATGTATATTTCATGGAATACTACTCAGCCATAAAAAGGAACAATATATTGTATTTTGCAGCAACTGAGATGGAACTTGAAGCCATTATCCCAAGTGAAGTAACTAAGGAATGGAAAATCAAATACCGCATGTTATTGCTTATAGGTGAGAGGTGAGCTGTGGGTACACAGATGCATGCAGAGTGGTATAATGTACATTATCAACTCAGATGGGGGAAGGTATAAAGAAGAGTGAGGGATGGAAAATTACCTATTGGGTACAATTTACACTATTTGTGCAATGGATACACTAAAAGCCCAGACTTTACCGCTATGCAATTCATCCACATAACTAAAAACCCCTTGTAGCCCCAAAGCTATTGAAATATATATAAATAAATATGCTGAAGCACAGAGAGTAAAACAAAAAAAAATCTAAATGACCAGTGAGGCATTCAGTGGTTTAACATATACTTGTTTGGAGGCTCATGAGAAAAGCAAAGAGAAAGAGGAGACGAAAAACATTTAAAGAACTAATGACTGAAAATTTTGCAAATTGGATGAAAACTCTGAATCCACAAATGAAAGAATCTGAATGAACCCAAGCAAGATAAAATTAACTACACATAAGAATATTATAACAGAATCAATGAAAGCTAGTCATAAAGAGAAATTTCTAAAAGCAGCCAGAGAGAAAAGAAAGGTTAGATTAAGAGGAACGCATATAAGAAGCAATGCTGACTTCTTATCAGAAGCAATGCGAGGCAGAAACCACTTTTAAAGTGCTAAAATATAAATGCTTATATCAAAGCCCAGTGCTTAGTATTCCTTAAAAGGTAGCTAGATTTATAACTACTTATAGATAGGTATTTCCATTTATTCAGTAAACAAACATCTAGTAAGCATTTATTGTGTACCAAACCCTGCTACCTCCTCTTGAGGGGTTCACAATCTGGTAGGAAGATAAATAGAAGAATAAAGCAAGTGATAAAGCAAAAACAAATTGTTAAATATCTCAAGTGAAGTGGACAACCTGCCTTCCTAAGAAGAAATTAGTGGAATTTTAAACACAAGTGAATGCTTGTGAGAAAAATAAGGTGAATAAAAGCAATTACAGAGAAGCAACTGTATACACAAAAGCATATTGCCGAGCAAAATCACAGAGTAGCTCTGAGCAGCAGGAGAACAGGCTGTGTATGAGACAGTGGAGATAAATGCAATTTGAGAGGTTCCTGAGTTAGATCCCCAAAACCCTGATATGACATGGCAAATAGTAGGGATTTTTACCCTGAGAACACTGTGGCATCACTGAAGGACTTAAAATAGAAAAGTAACATAACTGGATTTTCATTTTAGAAGGATCATTCTCATTTTGAAGAATGGTTTGGAGGCAAGCAGACTAGTTAGGAAGCTAAACAATTTAGGAACTATATAGAGATGGACTGGACTTCAGATAATATGGTGGAGATGGAAAAGCATCAACAGAATTTAGTGGCCAAATGACTCCCAACTTTCCGGCATGGGCTATTAATAGAGTTTACTAAAATATTAAGGAAACATTCTACCTTCACGAGCACTATTCACCAATCTTCTAGACAGAAACTAACTTCCTAAACTTAACTTTATCTTAAGAGTTAAATTGTTGCCCTGCATTTAGGAAACTTCTTTCACATGATTAAATTAAACTTGATTCAGCACTAATAGAAGTTGCATCCCAAAAGTCAGGGATCAGAACTAAAGAGCAGGAAAAAGAAAAAAGATGGAAAAAAATGCTTTAATTCTTTATATTTGAGCCCGGTTGAAATTTAAGCCCAGATTTTTTATCTGTGCCTTAATCAGAGCCAAGTTTTCTTTAGTCTTCTTACCTGTAGCACTAGGACTACAACATAACAGAGAGCATAGGGCAAATAGTTTCTGTTGGACAAGTGGGACTTGACCTTATCCATGTGTAGATCCTGCTGAATTTTCCTTGCTGAAATTTGAATTTTTCTAAATAGTTCTGTGAAAATCACTTCTCCCTCCTTACTTTCACCAGCTCCTTCCTAATCACCAACCTTCTCATCTTAGTTAGCTCAGACCCATAGGGTATACATATAGTAAATAAGATACTTCCAGTACTGATTCAAATCAAAGATGTTGCATTAAGTCAACAAATTGCTAACTTTTTCTGGCCTCAGTTATTTTATCTACAAAAAGGGAATAAAAATCCTTATCTGCCATAAGATAGGGTAGACCTAGTCAAATCTTGACCCTTCTTATAGTGCCATAATTGATCTATAACTGAGTACAGACTTTTTTTAACCCCATTTGGTAAAATCATTGATCATAAATCACTGGACAGTTTCTGATCCCTGCTTAACTGGATTAAGAAATTAAACAAGTAAATTTCATGGAATGTACATAATGTCTGACACTGATTTATAGTATAATACAAAGAACCTAATGAAGTCCTGGTACTTCATACCAGGACTTAGGGTATCTTATTTACTATGAAATTCCAGTCATGAATCTGAATTTTAATCAGCTATCCAAAGAGAAGCAGTTTGCTCCCTGCATTGCTTAATTTAGCATATGCAAAGAAAAATCTGTCTACAGTGATTCATGTGCGCATATTCAGTGCTAAGGTTTTCAATAATTTTTTACCCATAAGTATTGTACTTATCATGGCTTCATGAGCTATAAATGCTGATGTGGATGATATAATCGGAAACATTCTGATAAACAACATGGAAATACTACATGAATATAATTAACCTGTGTGGAAAGTAAAAAACAAAAAACAAACAAAAAGACTATAAACTGCATGTGGCCACAATCCCTTAGAAGTACTTAAAGAATAGATACAAGAATATTCTAAATAACATTTTCAGTCTGATTTTGACAGCATACAATTAAATGTATGATTCATGTTTACTATTTTATATTTCAATTATACAGTAAAGAAAAGCTCATGTCCTTTCGAACCACAGCATTACCTCAGCTTTTTCACATTTCATTCTTGTAATAAACTACATATTTTTCCTTCCATGGAGAATACAAAGGAATAGGCAGAAAGCACCCTCTTAGAAAAAAAATATTTAAATGTGATGACCATTTGGTAAACTTACTGAAATAAAAATACTGAGCTTCCATTTCCAAAGTAATACAATGAATTTTCTTAGACTACTCATTTGTCCCCTTATAAATGTTAGCAATAACAAAAGGTTGTCAGTTCTTAAAAATAAGAAGTGATAATTCACTTTTAAGAAGTAGACTTTGCCAGACTTTCTTTATATCATCTGACAGTCTTGACTACATCAAGGGTAGCCAAAGTAATAATTATCTATAAAACAATGGACAAGCTAGTCAGTTAAGTAAATTCCTGACTTAACCTTTAGCAGTAGGAGGAATAGATCAGAATAAAGTAGACTATTAGACATTTTTTTCAAATATTATTGAATTGAACTGATGATGAAATTCACTTTAAAAGCCATTACAACTAGAATTAACCTAGGAACATAGCTTAGGAGATTTGAGGAAAAGGCCATCATATTCACATTTTATTTTACTCATACTTGTGCAGGAAATAAAAATTTTGAATTGCACAGCACATAACTTGAAGGGGACAAGGGAAGTTGGGTAGAATGTAGACTATTTGTAATTTTATATTTTGATACCCCTCTTATGTGATTCAAATAATCGAGGTAATTCAGTTTTACATGAGTGCAGGGGGGAACTGAGGCAGTAGGAAAATGTGAGAAGCAGAAATTGTGATGGTCACAGAATCATGAGCCAGAATCACTTTTTTTCCTACTATAAGTTTTCATTTCTTGCCAGAAGATGCCTAGCAGTCCTGCCCCACCAGAATTGTCTGAAACCTAGTAGAAAGCACATTTTACATTTAGAATAGGAGATATCTTTGCACCATGTGTATTTTCTACCGTACCTCAACAATTCTAGAATAATTTAGCCCTCAGTCATTACAGAGTGCATCTACAAGACCTCAGAACAACAAAAGCCATTAGGCACAAAGCTATAGATCAAAATAGTATGGTGCTTACATTAAAAAAAAAGGCACACAGACCAATATGATGGAATAGAAAGGCCAGAAATAAACCCACACATATACAGTCAACTAGTCTTTGATAAAAGCACCAAGAATACAAAACAGGGAAAGGATATTCTCTTCAATAAATGGCGTTAGTTGAAATGAATATTCATAGGATATTCACGAAGTTGAATACGTGTATTACACCATGTACAAAAATTAACACAAAATGGAATAAAGACTTAAACATAAGAGCTGAAACTCTTAAAACTCCTAGAAGAAAACATAGGAGAAAATTCCATGATATTGGCCTTGATAATAATTTTTTGGATATTACCCCAAAAGCACAGGCAACTAAAGCAAAAATAAACAAGTGGAATTTACTTCACACAGAAAAGGTCCCTCATAGCAAAGGAAACAGTCAACAGACTGAAAAGGCAAGCTAAAGAATCAGAGAAGATATTGGCAAACCATACATCTGATGAGCTAATATTCAAAATACACTAGGAACTCAAATAACTCAAAGGCAAGTAAACAAATAACCTGATTAAAAATGGGCAAAGGAAATAGGCAAAAGTAAAGACATTTCTCAAAAGAAGACATTTAAATGGCCAACAGTTATATGAAAAAATGTTCAACATCACTAATCATCAGGGAAATTCAAATCAAAACCATAATGAGATATCACCTCATACCTGTTAGGATGCCTATAACCAAAGAAGCAAGAGATAACAAGTTTTGCCAAGGCTGTAGAGAAAAGGAAACCCTTGTACACTTTTGATTGGAATGTAAATTAGTACAGCAGTCATGGAAAACAGTATAAAAGTTCCTCAAAAAATTAAAAATAAAACTACCATACAATCCAGTAATTCCACTGCTGAGTATATATCCAAAGGAAATGAAATCTATATGTTGAAGAGGAGATATCAACACTCCCATGTTCACTGCAGCATCATTCACAATAGCCAAGATATAGAATCAACCTAAGTATCTATCAATGGATAAATGGATAAAGAAAACTTTTCACACACACATACACACATGCACACACACACACAATGGAATATTATTCAACCTTAAAAAAGAAGAAAATATTGCCATTTGCAACAACACAGAGGAACCTAGATGACATTATGCTAAGTGAAATAAGCCAGACACAGAAAGATAGATACAACATGATATCACTTATATGTGGAATCTAAAAAATCTAATTCACAGAAATTCAGAGTAGAATTGTTGTTACCAGGGTCTGGGTGGAGGGTTGGAGGGAAAGTAGGGAAATGTTGGTCAAAGGCTATAAACTTTTGGTTATAAGTTGAATGAGTTCTGGTGGTCTAATGTGGAGCACTGTGACTATCTTTAACAAATGTTAGACACTTGAAATTTGCTAAGAAAGTAAACTTAAGTAGACTCAGCACACAAAAAAAGATAACTATGTAAGGTGATGGATATAGTAATTCACTTGATTATAGTAATCATTTCACAATGTATGTGTATATAAAAATATCACATTGTACCCCTTAAATATGTGCAATTTTTATTTGTCAATTATACCTCAATAAAGCTGAAAACAATTTTTACAAGTAAAAAATGACTTTAGATAATCTGTAGAGACAGAAAGCAGGTTCATTGTTTGTTGACTAGGGCTGGGAATAGGAACAGGGATTAACTATGAAAGGGCATGAAGGTTGTTACAGGGTGATGGAAATATTCTTAAACTGCATTGGGATAATGGCACACAACTTGGTAAATTTACAAAAATTATTGAATTACACACCTAAAACGAGTGAACTTTATGGCATGCAAATTAATACTTCAATAGAGTTGGGTTTAGAAAAAAAGAAGTTTTTAAGGTAAAACCTTAGCACCTCTGAGCCTAAATCAAATCTCTACACAGCTGTGGTTCCAGGAGGCTTCTAAGATAAACTCTGGAAGGTGATAATGAAAATGTTCTTCTCCCTTCAGTATCCAGGAAACAAGCAGAATAACTAATATCAAATCTGAGTCATTAAAATAGCACTTAACAGCTAAGATCCCTAAAAATCTCTTTTCCTTTCTTATATTAATCATTAGGCAGTTTTGATAAGTATATCTGATCAATAAATGACATGTTATAATTTCTCTGTTATAATTCTCATCTGTATTCTAAATATAATATAGAATAAATATCACATGGAATAAATAAATATCAGGCTTTAAGCCTTTTAAGTCTGCTGACTCAAATTTATTTCCCCAGACAGGTTCAAAAAAGAAATTGGTTTGTGTTATCAAGCCAGGCCCCTCATTCCTAATAAAGTCAGCAGACATGGCACACAGAGAGCAGTGCCTGCTAGAGAAAGACTTAGTTCCTCATATCAAGAACCAGTGGCCAGGTGTGGTAGCTCAACCCTGTAATCCCAGCACTTTGGGAGGCCGAGGCAGTCGGATCACCTGAGGTCAGGAGTTCAAGACCACCATGGCCAACATGGTGAAACCCTGTCAAATTAGGTGGCATTGGCCTCTAATCCCAACTACTTGGGAGACTGAGGCAGGAGAATCGCATGAACTTGGAGGCAGAGGTTGCAGTGAGCCGAGACTGCACAACTGCACTCCAGCCTGGGCGGCAGAATGAGACTACGTCTCAAAAAAAAAAAAAGAACTAGTAATTATAGCAGAAC